>NT_187448.1:0-1553 GCF_000001405.40 Homo sapiens
GTAGTTTGTAGTTCTCCGCGAAGAGGTCCTTCACATCCCTTGTAAGTTGGATTCTAGGTATTTTATTCTCTTTGAAGACATTGTGAATGGGAGTTCACTCATGATTTGGCTATCTGTTTGTCTATTATTGGTGTATAAGAATGCTTGTGATTTTTGTACGTTGATTTTGTATCCTGAGACTTTGCTGAAGTTGCTTATCAGCTTCAGGAGATTTTGGGCTGAGACAATGGGGTTTTCTAGATATACAGTCATGTTGTCTGCAAACAGGGACAATTTGACTTCCTCTTTTCATAATTGAATACCCTTTATTTCCTTCTCCTGCCTGATTGCCCTGGCCAGAACTTCCAACACTATGTTGAATAGGAGTGGTGAGAGAGGGCATCCCTGTCTTGTGCCAGTTTTCAAAGGGAATGCTTCCAGTTTCTGCCCATTCCGTATGATATTGGCTGTGGGTTTGGCATAGATAGCTCTTATTATTTTGAGATACGTCCCATCAATACCTAATTTATTGAGAGTTGTTAGTATGAAGTGTTGTTGAATTTTGTCAAAGACCTTTTCTTCATCTATTGAGATAATCATGTGGTTTTTGTCTTTGGTTCTGTTTCTATGCTGGATTACATTTATTGATTTGCCTATATTGAACCAGCCTTGCATCCTGAGAATGAAGCCCACTTGATCATGTTGGATAAGCTTTTTGATGTGCTGCTGAATTCAGTTTGTCAGTATGTTATTGAGGATTTTTGCATCAATGTTCATCGAGTATATTAGTTTAAAATTCTCTTTTTTGGTTGTGTCTCTGCCAGGCTTTGGTATCAGGATGATGCTGGCTTCATAAAATGGGTTAGGGAGGATTCGCTCTTTTTCTATTGATTGGAATAGTTTCAGAAGGAATGGTACCAGTTCCTCCTTGTACCTCCGGTAGAATTCGACTGTGAATCCATCTGGTCCTGGACTCCTTTTAGTTGGTAAGCTATTGATTATTGCCACAACTTCAGCTCCTGTTTTTGTTCTATTCAGAGATTCAACTTCTTCCTGGTTTAGTCTTGGGAGAGTGTATGTGTCGACTAATTTACCAATTTCTTCTAGATTTTCTAGTTTATTTGAACAGAGGTGTTTGTAGTATTCTCTGATGGTTCTTTGTATTTCTATGGGATCGGTGGTGATATCCCTTTTATCATTGTTTATTGTGTCTATTTGATTCTTCTCTTTTTTTCTTTATTAGTCTTGCTAGTGGTCTATCATTTTTTTGATCCTTTCAAAAAACCAGCTTAAGGAGCTCTTTTAGGGCAGGCCTGTTGGAGACAAAATCTCTCAGCATTTGCGTGTCTGTAAAGTATTTTATTTCTACTTCATTTATGAAGCTTAGTTTGGTTGGATATGAAATTCTGGGTTGAAAATTCTTTTCTTTAAGAATGTTGAATATTGGCCCCCAGATGTTAGTCTGATTGGCTTCCCTTTGTGGGTCACCCAACCTTTCTCTCAGGCTGCCCTTAACATTTTTTCATTCATTTCAACTTTGGTGAATCTGACAATTATGTGTCTTGGGAGTTGCT
>NT_187449.1:0-7046 GCF_000001405.40 Homo sapiens
AAGGACAGTTTGTTCCACAATAAATGCTGGGAAAACAAGTCCACATTGAAACCAGTAAAGTTGAATCTTTATCACATTCCAAGTACAAAAATTAAATAAAAATAGATTAAAGACATAAGTGTTCAACATTAGTGGTTTCTAATGGTTGTTTTCATTTATGTGGGGTCAGTACTAACATGAACACCTTTATACACACAAACTAGAAAACTTTAAAGAAATGGATACATTACTAGATATACACACTCTCCCAAGATTAAGCCAGGAAGACAATTATTTCCTGAATGGACCAATAAAAAGCTCTGATATTATATAGGTAATAAGTAGCTTGCCAATCAAAAAAATAAAAGCCCTGGACTTTATGGATTTACAGCCAAATTCTACCAAATGTACAAGGAAGAGCTGGTACAATTCCTACAGAAACTATCCCCAAAAATTGAGGAGGACGGTCTCCTCCCCAACTCATTCTATAAGGACAGCATGATCTTGACACCAAAACCTGGCAGAGACACAACAAAAACACAAAATTAACCGGGCTTGGTAGCAGACACCTGTAGTCCCAGCTACTTGGGAGGCTGAGGCAGGAGAATGACATGAACCCAGGAGGCGGAGCTTGCATTAAGCAGAGATTGCACCAGTGCACTCCAGCCTGGGCAACAGAGGGAGACTCCATCAAAAAAAAAAAAGAAAGAAAGAAAAGAAAACTTCAGGCCAATATTCTTCACAAACATCAATACAAAAGTTCTCAGAAAAATATTTGTAAACCAAATCCAGCAGCACATCAAACAGGTAATCCGTCATTATCAAGTAGGCTGCCTCCTTAGGATGCAAGGTTGGCCCAGCATGTGCAAATCAATAAATGTAATACATCACATAAACAGAACTAAATACAAAAAACAGACGATTATCCCAATAGATGCAGAAAGTAATAAAAGCCGTGTATAAAAAACCCACAGCCAACAATCTGTTGAATGGGCAAAGTTGGGAGCTTTTTTTCTGAAAACCAGCACAAGGCAAGAATGCCCTCTCTCACCATTTCTATTCAACATAGTATTGAAAGTCCTGACGAGAGCAATCAGGCTAGAGAAAGAAATACAAAAAGCATCCAAATAGGAAGAGAGAAAGCCAAACTATTTCTGTTTGCAAATAACATAATTCTATATCTAGAAAACCCTGTAGTTTCAGGTACAAAGCTTCTTTAGTTAACAAACAACTTCAGCGAATTTTCAAGATACTAAATCAATGTGCAAAGATCACTAACATTTCTCTACACCAATGATAACCACACTGACAGCAAAATCAGAAAGGCCATCCCATTCACAATTGCCACAAAAATGATAAAATACCTGGAAATGCAGCTCACCAGGGAGGTGAAAGAGCTCTACAGTGAGAATTACAAAACACTGCTCAAATAAATCAGAGAAGACACAAACAAATGGAAAACCACCTCATGCTCATGGATAGGAAGATCCAATATAACTAAAATGGCTATACTTCACAAAGCAATTGACAGATTTAATGCTATTTCCATCAAACTGCCAATAAAATTTTTTACAGAGCTAGAAAAAACTATTTTAAAATTCCTATAGGCTGGGTGCAGTGGCTCACGCCTGTAATCCCAGCACTCTGGGAGGCCGAGGGCTGCAGATCATGAGGTCAGGAGATCGAGACCATCCTGGCCAACATGGTGAAACTCCTTCTCAACTAATTTTTTAATAGCTGGGTGTAGTGGCAAGCGCTTGTAATCCCAGCTACTCGGGAGGCTGAGGCAGGAGAATCCATTGAACCAGGTAGTCAGAGGTTGCAGTGAGCTGAGATTGCACCACTGCACTCCAGCCTGATGACAGAGTGACATTCCATCAAAAAAAAATTATATATATGAAACCAAAAAGGAGCACACATAGTCAAGGCAATCCTAAGCAAAAAAGAACAAAGCTGCAGGCATCAGGTTGCCTGGCTTCAAATTACACTACAGGGCTATAGTAACGAAAACAGCATAATATTGATAAAAACAGACACATAGACAAATGGAGCAGAATAGAGAGCCCAGAAACAAGGCTGCACATCTATGCCATGTGATAATTGACAAGGCTGACAAAAACAAGCAATGAGAAAAAGATTATTTATTCAATAAGTGGTGCTGGAATAATTGGCTGGCAACATGTGGAAGATTGAAGCTGGACCCCTTATTTACATCATATACAAAAAAAAATCAACTCAAGACTGATTGAAGACTTAAATATAAAATCTTTATGTATAAAAACCATGAAAGACAATCCAGGCAATACCATCCTGGATATAGGAATGGGCAAAGATTTCATGATAGAAAGACCAAAAGCAACAGCAAGAAAAGCAAAAATTAACAAGTAGGATTTAATTAAAGTAAAGAGATTTTGCATAGCAGAAAAAAAAAACTATTAACAGAGTAAACAGAAAACCTATGGAGTGGAAAAAAAAATATTTGTAAACTATCCATCTAACAAAGGTCTAATATCTAGCATCTATAAGGAACTTAAATTTACAAAAGAAAAACAACCCCATTAAAAAGTGGGCAAAGACATGAACGGACAGTTTTCGAAAGAAGACATACATGAGGCCAACAAGTGTATGAGAAAAAGCTCAGAATCAATGATAGTTAGAGAAATGAAAATTAAGTGATCCTTGTGCCTCAGTCTCCCAAATAGCTGGGACTACAAGCAAGCACCACAATGCCCAGCTAATTTTTGAATTTTTAGTAGAGATGGGGTTTTGCCATGTTTCCATGGCTGGTCTCGAACTCCTGAGCTTAAGTGATCTGCCTGCCTCAGCCTCCCAAAGTTTTGGGATTACAAGTGTGAACCACCATGCCTGGACTCCATTATTCAATCTAAGAACTGCATGCAGAAATGTGTTCAGGTTTTAAAATTTTATTCACTTCTGCACTGATACTTTCAAACCAAATTTTATAGCAGCATCATTTACAGTAAAAAATTTAAAAAGAAATCCAGATATCTTCTAAGAGTCAAACAGATGAAGAAAATATGGTATATACACACAACAGAATATTATTTATCCTTAAAATGAATGTGGGGGGGAGGAGCCAAGAAGGCCGAATAGGAACAGCTCCGCTCTACAGCTCCCAGTGTGAGTGACGCAGAAGACGGGTGATTTCTGCATTTCCAACTGAGTTACCAGGTTCAACTCACTGGGGAGTGCCAGACAGTGGGTGCAGTGCACCGTGCATGAGCCGAAGCAGGGCAAGGCATTGCCTCACCAGCGAAGTGCAAGGGGTCAGGGAATTCCCTTTCCTAGTCAAAGAAAGTGGTGACAGATGGCATCTGGAAAATCGGGTCACTCCCAACCTAACACTGTGCTTTTCCAACAGGCTTAAAAAATGTCACACCAGGAGATTATATCCTGCACCTGGCTCAGAGAGTCCTACGTCCACGGAGCCTCACTCATTGCTAGCACAGCAGTCTAAGATCAAACTGCAAAGTGGCAGTGAGGCTGGGGGAGGGATGCCCGCCATTGCTAAGGCATGAGTACGTAAACAAAGTGGCCAGGAAGCGGGAACTGGGTGGAGCCCACCACAGCTCAAGGAGGCCTGCCTGCCTCTGTAGGCTCCACCTCTGGGGGCAGGGCACAGACAAACAAAAAGACAGCAGTAACCGCTGCAGACTTAAATATCCCTCTCTGACAGCTTTGAAGAGTGTAGTGGTTCTCCCAGCTTGCAGCTTGAGATCTGAGAATGGACAGACTGCCTCCTCAAGTGGGTCCCTGACTCCTGAGTAGCCTAACTGGGAGGCACCCCCAAGTATGGTTGGACTGAAACCTCACACAGCCTGGTACTCTTTTGAGACAAAATTTCCAGAGGAACAATCAGGCAGCAGCATCTGCAGTTCACCAATATCTGCTGTTCTGCAGTGAGCGCTGCTGATAAGCAGGCAAACAGGGTCTGGAATGGACCTCCAGTAAACTCCAACAGACCTGCAGCTGAGGGTCCCAACTGTTAGAAGGAAAACTAATAAACAGAAAGGACATTCACACCAAAAACCCATCTGTACATAACCATCATCAAAGCCCAAGTTAGATAAAACCACAAAGATGGGAAACAAATAGAACAGAAAAACTGGAAACTCTAAACTTCAGAGCACCTCTCCGCCTCCAAAGGAACACAGCTCCTTACCAGCAATGGAACAAAGCTGGATGGAGAATGACTTCGATGAGTGGAGACAAGAAGGCTTCAGATGATCAAACTTCTCTGAGCTACAGGAGGAGATTCGAACCAATGGCAAAGAAGATAAAAACTTTGAAAAAAAAATAGATGAATGGGTCACTAGAATAACCAATGCAGAGAAGTCCCTAAAGGACCTGATGGAGCTGAAAACCAAGGCATGAGAACTACGTGATGAATGCAGAAGCCTCAGTAGCCGATGCGATCAACTGGAAGAAAGGGTATCAGTGATGGAAGACAAAAGGAATGAAATGAAGAGAGAAGAGAAGTTTAGCAAAAAAGAATAAAAAGAAATGAACAGAGCCTCCAAGAAATACGGGACTATGTAAAAAGACCAAATCTATGTCTGATTGGTGTACCTGAAAGTGACGGGTAGAATGGAACCAAATTGGAAAACACTCTGCAGGATATTATCCAGGAGAACTTCCCCAATCTAGCAAGACAGGCCAACATTCAAATTCAGAAAATACATAGAAGTCCACTAACGTACTCCTCGAGAATAGCAACTCCAAGACACATAATTGTCAGATTCACCAAAGTTGACATGAATGAAAAAATGTTAAGGGCAGCCTGAGAGAAAGGTTGGGTGACCCACAAAGGGAAGCCCATCAGACTAACATCTGGGGGCCAATATTCAACATTCTTAAAGAAAAGAATTTTCAACCCAGAATTTCATTTCCAGCCAAACTAAGCTTCATAAATGAAGTAGAAATAAAATACTTTACAGACACGCAAATGGTGAGAGATTTTGTCTCCAACAGGTCTGCCCTAAAAGAGCTCCTTAAGCTGGTTTTTTGAAAGGATCAAAAAAAGATAGACCACTAGCAAGACTAATAAAGAAAAAAAGAGAACAATCAAATAGACACAATAAACAATGATAAAAGGGATATCACCACCAATCCCATAGAAATACAAACTACCATCAGAGAATACTACAAACACCTCTGTGCAAATAAACTAGAAAATCTAGAAGAAATTGATAAATTAGTCGACACATACACTCTCCCAAGACTAAACCAGGAAGAAGTTGAATCTCTGAATACAACAAAAACAGGAGCTGAAGTTGTGGCAATAATCAATAGCTTACCAACGAAAAGGAGTCCAGGACCAGATGGATTCACAGCCGAATTCTACCGGAGGTACAAGGAGGAACTGGTACCATTCCTTCTGAAACTATTCCAATCAATAGAAAAAGAGTGAATCCTCCCTAACCCATTTTATGAGGCCAACATCATCCTGATACCAAAGCCTGGCAGAGACACAACCAAAAAAGAGAATTTTAAACTAACATACTCGATGAACATTGATGCAAAAATCCTCAATAACATACTGACAAACCGAATCCAGCAGCACATCAAAAAGCTTATCCAACATAATCAAGTGGGCTTCATTCTCAGGATGCAAGGCTGGTTCAATATAGGCAAATCAATACATGTAATCCAGCATAGAAACAGAACCAAACACAAAAACGACATGATTATCTCAATAGATGAAGAAAAGGCCTTTGACAAAATTCAACAACACTTCATACTAAAAACTCTCAATAAATTAGGTATTGATGGGACGTATCTCAAAATAATAAGAGATATCTATGCCAAACCCATTCATACTGAATGGGCAGAAACTGGAAGCATTCCCTTTGAAAACTGGCACAAGACAGGGATGCTCTCTCTCACCACTCCTATTCAACATAGTGTTGGAAGTTCTGGCCAGGGCAATCAGGCAGGAGAAGGAAATAAAGGGTATTCAATTATGAAAAGAGGAAGTCAAATTGTCCCTGTTTGCAGACAACATGATTGTATATCTAGAAAACCCCATTGTCTCAGCCCAAAATCTCCTTAAGCTGATAAGCAAATTAAGCAATGTCTCAGGATACAAAATCAACATACAAAAATCACAAGCATTCATATACACCAACAACAGAAAAACAGAGAGCCAAATCATGAGTGAACTCCCATTCACAATGTCTTCAAAGAGAATAAAATACCTAGGAATCCAACTTACAAGGGATGTGAAGGACCTCTTCACGGAGAACTACAAACCACTGCTCATTGAAATAAAACAGGATACAAACAAATGGAAGAACATTCCATGCTCATGGGTAGGAAGAATCAATATCGTGAAAATGGCCATACTGCCCAAGGTAATTGATAGATTGAATGTCATCCCCATCAAGCTACCAATGACTTTCTTCCCAGAATTGGAAAAAACTACTTTAAAGTTCCTATGGAACCAAAAAAGAGCTGGCATCGCCAAGTCAATTTTAAGCCAAAAGAACAAAGCTGGAGGCATCACACTACCTGACTTCAAACTATACTACAAGGATACAGTAACCAAAACAGCATGGTACTGGTACCAAAACAGAGATATAGACCAATGGAACAGAACAGAGCCCTCAGAAATAATGCCGCATATCTACAACTATCTGATCTTTGACAAACCTGAGAAAAACAAGAAATGGGGAAAGGATTCCCTATTTAATAAATGGTGCTGGGAAAACTGGCTAGCCATATGTGGAAAGCTGAAATTGGATCGCTTCCTTACACCTTATACAAAAATCAATTCAAGATGGATTAAAGACTTACATATTAGACCTAAAACCATAAAAAACCTAGAAGAAAACCTAGGCATTACCATTCAGAACATAGGCATGGGCAAGGACGTCATGTCTAAAACACTAAAAGCAATGGCAACAAAAGCCAAAATAGACAAATGGGATCTAATTAAACTAAAGAGCTTCTGCATAGCAAAAGAAACTACTGTCAGAGTGAACAGGCACCTACAAAATGGGAGAAAAATTTCACAACCTACTCATCTGACAAAGGGCTAATATCCA
>NT_187450.1:0-31033 GCF_000001405.40 Homo sapiens
GCCCAGCTATTTTTTGTATTTTTAGTTGAGAAGGAGTTTCACCATGTTGGCCAGGATGGTCTCGATCTCCTGACCTCATGATCTGCACCCCTCGGCCTCCCAGAGTGCTGGGATTACAGGCGTGAGCCACTGCACCCAGCCTATAGGAATTTTAAAATAGTTTTTTCTAGCTCTGTAAAAAATTTTATTGGCAGTTTGATGGAAATAGCATTAAATCTGTCAATTGCTTTGTGAAGTATAGCCATTTTAGTCATATTGGATCTTCCTATCCATGAGCATGGGGTGGTTTTCCATTTGTTTGTGTCTTCTCTGATTTCTTTGAGCAGTGTTTTTTAATTCTCATTGTAGAGCTCTTTCACCTCCCTGGTGAGCTGCATTTCCAGGTATTTTATTATTTTTGTGGCAATTGTGAATGGTATGGCCTTTCTGATTTTGCTGTCAGTGTGGTTATCATTGGTGTAGAGAAATGTTAGTGATCTTTGCACATTGATTTAGTATCTTGAAACTTCGCTGAAGTTGTATGTTAACTAAAGAAGCTTTGTAGCTGAAACTACAGGGTTTTCTAGATGTAGAATTATGTTATCTACAAACAGAAATAGTTTGGCTTTCTCTCTTCCTATTTGGATGCTTTTTGTATTTCTTTCTCTAGCCTGATTGCTCTGGTCAGGTCTTTCAATACTATGTTGAATAGAAATGGTGAGAGAGGGCATTCTTGCCTTGTGCTGGTTTTCAAAAAAAAAACGCTCCCAACTTTTGCCCATTCAACAGATTGTTGGCTGTGGGTTTGTTATACACGGCTTTTATTATTTTCTGCATCTATTGGGATAATCGTTTGTTTTTTGTTTTTAGTTCTGTTTATGTGATGTATTACATTTATTGATTTGCACATGCTGGACCAACCTTGCATCCTAAGAAGGCAGCCTACTTGATAATGACGGATTACCTGTTTGATGCGCTGCTGGATTTGGTTTACAAATATTTTTCTGAGAACTTTTGTATTGATGTTTGCCAAGAATATTGGCCTGAAGTTTTCTTTTCTTTCTTTCTTTCTTTCTTTTTTCTTTCTTTCTTTCTTTCTTTCTTTCTTTCTTTCTTTTCTTTCTTTCTTTCTTTTTTTTTTTTTTTGACAGAGTCTCCCTCTGTTGCCCAGGCTGGAGTGCACTGGCGCAATCTCTGCTTAATGCAAGCTCCGCCTCCTGGGTTCATGCCATTCTCCTGCCTCAGCCTCCCAAGTAGCTGGGACTACAGTTGTCTGCTACCAAGCCCGGCTAATTTTGTGTTTTTGTTGTGTCTCTGCAAGGTTTTGGTGTCAAGATCATGCTGTCGTCATAGAATGAGTTGAGGAGGAGACCGTCCTCCTCAATTTTTGGGGATAGTTTCTGTAGGAATTGTACCAGCTCTTCTTTGTACATTTGGTAGAATTTGGCTGTAAATCCATAAAGTCCAGGGCTTTTATTTTTTTTATTGGCAAGCTACTTATTACCTATATAATATCAGAGCTTTTTATTGGTCCATTCAGGAAATAATTGTCTTCCTGGCTTAATCTTGGGAGATTGTGTATATCTAGTAATGTATCTATTTCTTTAAGGTTTTCTAGTTTGTGTGTATAAAGGTGTTCATGTTAGTACTGACCCCACATAAATAAAAACAACCATTAGAAACCACTAAAGTTGAACACTTATGTCTTTAATCTATTTTTATTTAATTTTTGTACTTGGAATGTGATAAAGATTCAACTTTACTGGTTTAAATGTGGACTTGTTTTCCCAGCATTTATTGTGGAACAAACTGTCCTTTTCTTTACATAATGATTAAGGCACCCTTGTCAAAAGACAATCAATAATTTATGCAAGGGTTTTTTGGATTATCTATTTTATTTATTTGATATCTACAATTGTTCTTATGCCACTAGCAAACTGTTATAGTAGCTTTGTATGTTTTCAAATTTAAAATTGTGAAATATCTAATTTTGTTCTTCTTTTCAAGATTATTCTGTACGTTCAGAGGATTTTCAAATTTCATATGAAGTTTTAAATGAATTATTTTGTTTTTGCAAAAGAAAAGTTGGAAAAATTAAACATTGGGATTACAGTACATCTGTACACTACTTTGGGTGGTAGTATTTTCATCTTAACTTCATTAAGTCTTCCGGTACAGGAATATGGAATTTGTTGCTAGTTATTTAAGTCCTTTTTAGTTTTTTTCATAAATATTCTGATCCTGTTTTTTTATTGTACAAAATATGTACCTTCTTATTAAATTTATTGCTAAGAATTGTATTATTTTAATGTTGTTGCAAACAATTGTTTTATTAATTTACTGTCAAATTGTTCATTGTTGGTATATGGAAATGCACTTTATGTTTCTGTGTTGTAAAAATAATTATTTCATCTCCAAATCTAGACTAGCAATTCATTCAGAATAAGTATGCAGTACAAATTGGTAGTCATTTAACTTTTTCCAATAAGCTAACCAATTACACTGTGTCTAAATATGTAAAAATGTTGAATTGTGTTAGATTTTCACTTACCCTCACCTGTCATTTATCAGTCAGAATTACATTACTGCACACATAGAACTTTCATTTCTGGGGCCGGGCATGGTGGCTCATGCCTATATTCCTAGCACTTTGTGAGACCAAGGCAGGCCGACTACCTGAGATCAGGAGTTCGAGACCAGCCTGACCAACATGGTAAAACCCTGCCTCTACTAAAAATAGAAAAATAAACTGAGTGTGGCCGTGGGAGCCTGTCCTCCAGCTACTTTGGAGGCTGACACAGGATAATCACTTGAACAATCCCACAACACAAAACAACAAAAGTTAGTCTTCATGTCAAAAATCTTCAATGGATGTTTTTCATCACAGGATTGTTTAGTGCAACATTTTATGGAAAAGATGCATGCTACTGAGATGTAGTTCTCCAAAAGTATCTTAGAGTTTGTTGTTTTGTTATGTCTTACCTCACACACCTGTCCTGTTCCAGGCTATTTTTCAAAGATTTTTGTATACAAATAACCTGGAAAAAGGGTAGTAGTTTTTCTCTTCAGGTGAATGGCAGATAAATTACTCAATCAATATAATAAAGACAATTTTTCTCTGTGAGGCAAAGTTTGGACAGGTTTGCATGTAACCTACTTTAAGAAGATTAAGGTTTCTTAGTCTTGAGCCTGCTCAGCTGTGACACAAATCTTCCCCATGTGCAATGTCCATCTGAGCCTTTTGAAATCCCTCTAAAAAATGTAGTATGGACAAGGAGAACTAATACAAATATGAGGCTTTTGCCTCCAGGTAGACAGTAAATAGTAGGTATTTTTTTCATACTTCAGTGTCTCATGCCTTCTACCAGCATCCATGGAAATGGAAGGTTAATAGGTTTGTTTACAAATAGGATGAAATCTTAGATCCTTCACAATTATTTAATTTTGGAGATGACAATGGGATGCTGAGATAAACACAACTTTCTGAAAGGGGAAAATACACAAATACTTGAAGAGCTTGCAACGGATATGAAAATTTCCCCTAGGACTAACAGCAACTTCTCTCAGCCAAGTGGTTAGTTTGGTGAAACAAGGGATCAACACTCTGCTGTCTGCTAATGAGACTGATCCTTGAGAGGATTATAACAATGAGACTGAGAGCTTTGCATGTTCATTTTTCTCCTGCTGGAAAGATCAAGGACCTCTTAAAGCTAATGTTGAGGCTTGGATGAGTCCAAAACACTAGAAGTTCACCTCTGTGAGATGAATGCACACATCACAAAGAAGTTTCTCAGAATGCATCTGTCTAGTTTTTATGTGAAGATATTTCCTTTTCCACCATAGGAGGCAAACTTCTCCAAATATACATTTGCAGATGCTACAAAAAGAGTGTTTCAAAACTACTCAACGAAAAGAAAGGTTCAACTCTGTGAGATGAGTGCACACATCACAGAGAAGTTTCTCAGAATGCTTCTGTCTAGTTTTTATGTGAATAGGTTTGTTTTACACCATAGGCCTCTAAGCGCTTCAAATATCCACTTGCAGATTCACCAAAAACAGTGTTTCAAAACTGTTCAATCAAAGGAAAGGTTTAAATCTGTGAGATGAATGCACACATCACAAAGAAGTTTCTTAAAATGCATCTGTCTAGTTTTGATGCAAAGATATTTGCTTTTCCACCAAAGGCCTAAAAGCACTCCAAATATTCACTTGCAGATTTTACAAAAAGAGTGTTTCAAAACTGCTCAATCAAAAGAAAGGTTCAACTCTGTGAGATGAATGCACAAATCACAGAGAAATTTCTCAGAATGCTTCTGTCTAGTTTATATGTGAAGATATTTCCTTTTACACCATAGACCTCAAACCGCTTCAAATATCCATTTACAGATACTACAAAAAGAGTGTTTCAAAACTGCTCAATCAAAAGAAAGGTTCAACTCTGTCACATGAACGCGCACATCACAAAGAAGTTTTTCATAATTCTTCCGTCTAGTTTTTATGTGAAGATACTTCCTTTTACACCGTATGCAGCAAAGCGCTCCAAATACCCTCCTGCAGATTCTACAAAATGAGTGTTTCAACACTACTCAATCAAAAGAAAGTTCCACTCTGTGAGATGAATGCACACATCACAAAGAAATTTCTCAGAATGCTTCTGTGTAGTTTTTATGTGATGATATTTCCTTTTCCACAATAGGCCTTAAAGCACTCCAAATATCCACTTGCAGATTCTACAAAGGAGTGTGTCAAAACTGTGCAATCAAAAGAAAGATTTAACTCTGTGAGATGAATGCACACATCACCAAGAACTTTCTCAGAATGCTTCTGTCTAGTTTTTATGTGAAGATATTTCCATTTCCACTGTGGGCCACAAAGGGCTCCAAATATCCACTTGCAGATTCTACAAAAAGAGTGTTTCAAAACTGCTAAATCAAAAGAAAGATTCTACTCTGTGAGTTGAATGCACACATCAAAGAAGTTTCTCAGAGTGCTTCCATCAAGTTTTTATGTGGAGATATTTCCTTTTCCACCATAGGCCCCTAAGCGCTCCAAATATCCGCTTGCAAATTCTACAAAAAGAATGTTTGAAAACTGCTGAATCAAAAGAAAGGTTCACCACTGTAAGATGAATGTGCACCTCACAAAGAAGTTTCTCAGAAAGATTCTGTCTAGTTTTTATGTGAAGATATATCCTTTTGCACAGTAGACCTCAAAACGATCCATATATCCATTTGCAGATTCTACAAAAAGAGTGTTTCAAAACTGCTCAATCAAAAGAAAGGTTAAGTTCTGTGAGATGAATGCACACATTACAAAGAAGTTTCTCAGAATGCTGCTGTCTAGTTTTTATGTGAAGATGTTTCATTTTCCACCATACGCCTCAAAGTGCTCTAAATATCCACTTGCAGATTATACAAAAAGAGTGTTTCAAAACAGCTCAATCAAAAGAAATGTTCAACTCTGTGAGATGAATGCAGACATCACAAAGAAGTTTCTCAGATTGCTTCTGTCTAGTTTTTATGTGAAGATATTTATTTTCCACCATAGGCCGCAAAGCGCTCCAAATATCCACTTGCAGATTCTACAAAAAGAGTGTTTCAAAAGGCTAAATGAAAAGAAAGGTTCAACTCTGTGATATATATGCACACATCACAAAGAAGTTTCTCAGAATGCTTTTGTCTACTATTTATGTGAAGGTATTTCCTTTTCCAAAATATGCCCCAAAGCACTCCTATTATCCACAGGCAGATTCTACAAAAAGAGTGTCTCAAAATTGCTCAATCAAAAGAAAATTTCAACTCTGTGAGATGAATGCAAACATCACAAAGAAGTTTCTCAGAATGCTTCTGTCTAGTTTTTAAGTGAAGATATTTCCTTTTCCTCCATAGGCGTCAAAGTGCTCCAAATATCCTCTAGCAGATTCTACAAAAAGAGTGTTTCAAAACTGCTTAATCAAAAGAAATGTTCAACTCTGTGAGAGGAATGCACACATCACAAATAAGTTTCTCAGAATGTTTCCTCTAGTTTTTATGTGAAGATATTTCCTTTTCCACCATAGTCCTCAAAGCGCTCCAAATATCCACTGGCCAATTCTCCAAAAAGAGCATTTCAAAACTGCTCAATCAAAAGAAATTTTCAAATCTGTGAGATGAATGTGCACATCACAAAGAAGTTTCTCAGAATGCTTCTGTGTAGCTTTTATGTGAAGATATTCCATTTTCCACAATAGGCCTCAAGTGTCTCCAAAGTCCACTTGCAGATTCTACAAAAAGAGAGTTTCAAAACTGCTCAGTCAAAAGAAAGGTTAAACTCTCTCTGATGAATGCACACATCACAAAGAAGTTTCTCAGAATGCTTCCATCTAGTTTTTATGTGGAGATATTTCCTTTTCCGCCATCGGCCCCTAAGCACTCCAAATATCCACTTATAGATTCTTCAAAAAGCATGTTTCAAAACTGCTGAATCAAAAGAAAGGTTCAACTCTGTGAGTTGAATGCACATATCAGAGAAAAGTTTCTCAGAATGCTTCTATCTAGTTTATATGTGAAGGTATTTCCTTTTCCATCATACTCATCAAAGCGTTCCAAATATTCACTTGCACATTCTACAAAAAGAGTGTATCAAATCTGCTCAGTGAAAAGAATGGTTCAATTTGGTGAGATAAATGAACACATCATGAGGAAGTTTCGCAGAATGCTTCTGTCTAGTTTTTCTGTGAAAATATTGCCTTTACTACCATAGGACACAATCGCTCCAAATATCTACTTTCAGATTCTACAAAAAGGGTGTTTCAATACTGCTCGATGAAAGGAAAGATTCAACCTGGTGAGATGAACGCACACATCACAAAGAAGTTTCTCAGAAGGCTTCTGTCTAGTTTTTATGTGAAGATATTTCCTTTTACACCATAGGCCACAATTCGCTCCAAATATCCACTTGCAGATTCATCAAAAAGACTGTTTCAAAACCCTCAATCAAAAGAAAGTTTCAACACTGTGAGATGAATGCACACATCACAAAGAAGTTTCTCAGAGTGCTTCTGTCTAGTTTTTATGTGAAGATATTTCCTTTTCCACCAGAGACCACAAATCGCTCCAAAAACCCACTTGCATATACAACAAAAAGAGTGTTTCAAAACTGCTCAATCAAAAGAAAGGTTCAACTCTGTGAGATGAAGGCACTTATCACAGAGAAGTTTCTCAGAATGCTTCTGTCTAGTTTATATGTGAAGATATTTCCTTTTCCACGATAGACCTCAAACCGCTTCAAATATCCATTTACAGATACTACAAAAAGAGTGTTTCAAAACTGTTCAATCAAAAGAAAGGTTCAAATCTGTGAGTTGAATGCACAGATTGCCAAAAATTTCTCAGAATGCTTCTGTCTAGTTTTTATGTGAAGATAGTTCCTTTTCCACAATAGGCCCCAAAACGCTCCAAATATCCCCTTGCAGATACTACAAAAAGATGCTTTAAAAACTGCTCAATCTTCTTAATCCAGTCTATATACACCATGGAATACTATGAAGCCATAAAAAGTGATGAGTTCATAACCTTTTTAGGGACATGGATGAAATTGGAAGTCATCATTCTCAGTAAACTATCGCAAGAACAAAAAACCAAACACCGCATATTCTCACTCATAGGTGGGAATTGAACAATGAGATCACATGGACACAGGAAGGGGAACATCACACTCTGGGGACTGTTGTGGGGTGGGAGGAGGGGGGAGGGATAGCATTGGGATATATACCTAATGCTAGATGACAAGTTAGTGGGTGCAGCACACCAGCATGGCACATGTATACATATGTAACTAACCTGCACAATGTGCACATGTACCCTAAAACTTAAAGTATATAATAATAATAATAACTGCTCAATCAAAAGAAATGTTCAACTTTTTGAGATGAACACACACATCACAAAGAAGTTTCTCAGCATGCTTCTATTTTTTATGTGAAGATATTTCCTTTTCCAAAATAGGCCAGAAAGTTCTGCAAATATCCACTTGCAGATTTTACAAAAAGAGAGAATCAAAACTTCTCAATCAAAAGATAGGTTCAGCTGTGTGAGTCTAATGCAGACATCACAAAAAAGTTTCTGAGAATGCTTCTGTGTAGTTTTTATGTGAAGATATTTCCTTTTCCACCATAGGCCTCAAAGCGCTCCAAATATCCACTTGTAGATTCTACAAAAGAGTGTGTCCAAACTGGTCAATCAAAAGAAAGGATCAACTCTCTGAGATGAATGCACACATCACAAAGAAGTTTCTCAGAATGCTTCTGTCTAGTTTTTATGTGAAGATATTTTCTTTTCCACAACAGGCCACAAAGCACTCTAAATATCCACTTGCAGATTCTACAAAAAGACGGTTTCAAAACTGCTCAATCAAAAGAAAGGTTCAACTCTGTGAGATGAATGTACACATTACAAAGACGTTTCTCAGAATGCTTCTTCATAGTTTTTATGTGAGGATATTTCCTTTTCCACCATAGGTCTAAATGTGCTCCAAATATCCACTTGCAGATTCTACAAAAAGAGTGATTAAAAACTGCTCAATCAAAGGATAGATTCAACTCGGTGAGATGAATGCACACATCCCAAATAAGTTTCTCAGAATGCTTCTGTGTAGTTTCTATGTGAAGATATTTCCTTTTCCACCAAAGATCTCAAAGCGCTAAAAATATCCCCTTGGAGATTCTACAAAAAGAATGTTTCCAAACTGCTCAATAAAAAGAAAGGTTCAACTCTGTGTGATGAATGCACACGTCACAAAGTAGTTTCTCACAATGCTTCTTTGTAGTTTTTATGTGAAGATATTTCCTTTTCCACAATAGGCCTCAAAGTGCTCGAAACATTGACTTGCACATTCTACAAAACGAGTGTTTCAAAACTGCTCAATCAAAAGAAAGGTTCAGCTTTGTGAGATGAATGCACACAACACAAAGAAGTTTCTCAGATTATTTTGTGTGGTTTTTATGTGAAGATATTGTCTTTTTCACACTTGGGCCACACAACGCACCAAATATCCACTTACAGAATCTGCAAAGACAGAGTTTCAAAACTGCTCTATAAAAAGATAGGCTCAACCCGGTGACTTGAATGCACACATCTCAAAGAGTGTCTCAGAATGCTTCTGCGTACTTTTTGTAAAGATATTTCCTTTTACACCATTCACCACAAAGTGCTCCAAACATCCACCTGCAGATGTTACAAAAAGAGTGTTTCCAAACTGATCAATGAAAAGAAAGGTTCAACTCTATGAGACGAATTCACACATCATGAAGAAGTTTCTCACAATACTTTTGTGTAGTTTTTATGTGAAGATATTTCCTTTTCCAAAATAGGCCTTAAAGGACTCCAAATATCCCCTTGCAGATTCTACAAAAAGGGCGTTTCAAAAGTGCTCAATCAAAAGAGAGGTTCAACTCTTTGAGGGGAATGCACGCATAGCAAAGAAGTTTCTCAGAATGCTTCTGTGTAGTTTTTATGTGAAGATATTTCCTTTTCCACAGTAGGCCTCAAAGGGCTACAAATATACACTTGCAGATTCTACAAAAAGAGTGTTTCAAAACTGTTCAATCAAAAGAAAGGTTCAAGTCTGTGAGTTGAATGCACACATCATAAAGGAGTTTCTCAGAATGCTTATGTGCAGTTTTTATGTGAAGATATTTCCTTTTCCACAATTTGCCTCAAAGCACTCCAAATATCCACCTGCAGATTCTGTAAAGATTGTTTCCAAACTGCTCAAAGAAAAGAAAGGTTCAACTTCGTGAGATTAATGCACTCATCACAAAGTAGTTTATCAGAATGCTTCTGTGTCATTTTTATGTGAAGATATTTTCTTTTCCACAGTAGGCCTCAAAGTGTTTCAAATATCCACTTGCTTATTCTATTAAAAGAGAGTTTCCAAACTGTTCAGTCTAAAGAAAGGTTCAACTCTGTGAGATGAATGTGCACATCACAAAGAAGTTTCTCAGAGTTTTTCTGTGTAGTTTTTATGTGAAGGTATTTCCTTTTACACAGTAGGCCACAAAGGGCTCCAAATATTCACCTGCAGATTCTCCAAAAAGAGAGTTTCTAAAATCCTCTACCAATAGATAGGTACAACTCTGTGAGTTGAATGCACACATCACAAAGAAGTTTCTCAGAATGCTTCTGTGTAGTTTTTATGTGAAGATATTTCAATTTCCACAATAGTCCTCAAAGCGCTCTAAATATCCACTTTTAGATTCTACTAAAGAGTGTTTTCAAACTGCTCAATCAAAAGAATGGTAAAACACTGTGAGATGAATGCAAAAATCACAAAGAAGTTTCTCAGAATGCTTCTGTGTAGTTTTCATATGAAGATATTTCCTTTTCCACAATGGGCCTCAAAGCGCTCTGTGAGATGAATGCACACGTCACAAGACATTTCCCAGAATGATTCTGTGTACTTTTCCTGTGAAGATACTTCCTTTTCCACAATAGTCCTCAAAGCTTTCCAAATATCCACTTGCAGATTCTACAAAAAGTGTGTTTCAAAAGTGCTCAATCAAAAGAAATGTTCTACTCTGTGAGATGAATGCAACATCACCAAGAAGTTTCTCAGAATGCTTCCGTGTAGTTTTTATGTGAAGATATTTCCTTTTACACCATAGACCTCAAATCGCTCCAACTATCCACTTGCAGATTCTACAAAAAGAGTGTTTCCAAACTGCTCATTCAAAAGAAAACTTCAACTCTGTGGGATGAGTAAACACCTCGCAAAGAAGTTTCACAGAATGATTCTGTGTAGTTTTTATGTGAAGATATTTCCTTTTCCACAATAGGCCTCAAAGCACCCCTAATATCCACTTGCAGATTCTACAAAAAGAGTGTTTCAAAACTGCTCAATCAAAAAAAGTTTCAATTCTTTGAGTTGAAAGCATACATCACAAAGAACTTTCTAAGAATGCTTCTGTATAGTTTTTATGTGAAGATATTTCATTTTCCACAATAGGCCTCAAAGAGCTCCAAATGTCCACTTCTAGTCACTACAAAAAGAGAGTTTCCAAAGTGCTAATGAAAAGAAGGGTTCAATTCTGTGAGATGAATGCATACATCACAAAGAAGTTTCTCAGAATGCTTCTGATTACTTTTTATGTGAAGATATTTCCTTTTCCACAATAGACCTCACAGGGCTCCAAATATCCACTTTCAGATTGTACTAGAAGAGTGTTTCAAAAATGCTCAATCAAAAGAAAGTTTCAACTTTGTGAGGTGAATGCACACATCACAAGAAATTTCTCAGAATGCTTCTGTGTAATTTTTATGTGAACATACTTCCCTTTCCACAATAGTCAACAAAGCCCTGCAAATATACACTTGCACATTCTAGAAAAAGAGTGTTTCAAAACTGCTCAATCAAAAGAATGTTTCAACCCTGTGAGGTGAATGCACACATCACAAAGAAGTTTCTCAGAATGCTTCCGAGTAGTTTTTATGTGAAGATATTTCCTTTTCAACCGTAGGCCTAAAAGCACTCCAACTATTCACTTGCAGATTCTACAAAAAGAGTGTTTCCAAACTGCTCAATCAAAAGAAAACTTCAACTCCATGAGGTGAGTAAACACAATGCAAATAAGTTTCACAGAATGATTCTCCATAGTTTTTATGTGAAGATATTTCCTTTTCCACCACAAGCCGCAAATGTCTTTAAATATCCACTTCCAGGTTCTACAAAAAGAGATATTCAAAACTGCTTAATCAAAAGGTAGGTTCGACTCTGTGAGTTGAATGCATACATCACAAAGTAGTTTCTCAGAACGCTTCTGTGTAGTTTTTATGTGAAGATATTTCCTTTTACACCATAGGCCTCAAAGCGCTCCAAATATCCACCTGGAGATTCCAAGAAAAGAGAAATTCAAAACTGCTTATCAAAAGATAGGTTCAACTCCGAGAGTTGAATGCACACATCACAAATAAGTTTCTAAGAATGCTTCTGTGTATTTTTTATGTGCAGAAATTACCTTTTCCTCAGTACACCTTACAGAGCTGCAAATATCTACCTGCAGATCGCACTAAAAGAGTATTTCAAAACTGCACAATCAAAAGAAAGGTTCACCTCTGTGAAATGAATTCACACATCACAAAAAGTATCTCAGACTGTTCCTGTGTAGTTTTTATGTGAAGATACTTCCTTTTACACAATAGCTGTCAAACGCTCCAAATATCCACTAGAAGATTCTACAAAAAGAGTATTTCAAAACTGCTTAAACAAAAGAATGCTTCAACTCTGTCAGATGAATGCACACATCACAAAGAAGTTTCTCTGAATGCTTCTGTGTAGTTTTTATGTGAAGATATTTCCTTTTCCACTGTAGGCTGCAAAAGGCTCCAAATATCCACATGGAGATTCTACAAAAAGAATGTTTCCAAACTGGTCAATGAAAAGAAAGATACAACTCTGTGAGTTGAATGCACACATCACAAAGAAGTTTCTCAGAATTCTACTGTGTAGTTTCTATGTGTAGATATTTTCTTTTCCACAAAAGGCCTCAAAGCGTTCCAATTATCCACTTGCAGATTCTACAAAAAGATTGTTACAAAACTGCTCAATGAAAAGAACGGTTCAACTCAGTGGGAGGAATGCACACATCACAAAGAAGTTTCTCAGAATGTTTATGTGTAATTTTTATGTGAAGATAGTTCCTTTTCCGCAATAGGCCTCAAAGCGCTCCAAATATCTACTTGCAGATTCTACAAAAAGTGTTTTTCAAAACTGCTCAATCAAAGCAAAAGTTCAACTCTGAGATGAATGCCCACATCACAAAGAAGTTTCTCAGAATGCTTCTGTGTAGTTTTCATGTGAAGATAATTCGTTTTCCACAATAGGCCTCAAAGCACCCCAAATATCCATTGCATATTCTACTAAAAGCATGTTATAAAACTGCTGAATCAAAAGAAAGGTTCAACTCTGTGAGATGAATGCACAAGTCAAAATAAAGTATCTCAGAATGATTCTGTGTAGTTTTTGATGAAGATACTTCCTTTTCCACAAAAGACCTTAAAGGGCTCCTAATATCCACTTGCAGATTCTACAAAAAGAGAGATTCAAAACTGCTCAATCAAAAGATAGGTTCAACTGTGTGAGTTGAATGCACACATCACAAAGAAGTTTCTCAGAATGCTTCTGTGCAGTTTTTATGTGAAGATACATGCTTTTCCACAGTAGGCCTCGAAGCGCACCAAATATCCACTTGTAGATTCTACAAAAAGAGTGTTTCCAAACTGCTCAATCAAAAGCAAGTTTCAACTCTGTGAGATGAATGCACATAACACAAAGTAGTTTCTCAGAATGCTTCTGTGTATTTTTTGTGTGAAGATATTTCCTTTTCCACAATAGGCCTCAAAGCCCCCCAAATATCCACTTGAAGATTCTACAAAAAGAGGGTTTTAAAACTGCTCAATCAAAAGAAAGTTTCAACTCTGTGAGATGTATGCACACATCACAAAAAAGTTTCTCAGAATCCTTCTGTGTAGTTTTTCTGTGAAGATATTTCCTTTTCCAGAATAGCCCTCAAGGCGCTCCAAATATCCACTTGAAGATTCTGCAAAAAGAGTATTTCAAAACTGCTTAATCAAAAGAATGCTTCAACTCCGTGTGATGAATGCACATATCACAAAGAAGTTTCTCAGAATGCTACTGTGTAGTTTTTACGTGAAGATATTTCCTTTTCCACCATAGGCTGCTACGTGGTCCAAATATCCACCTGCAGATTTTACAAAAGGAGAGTTTCAAAACTTCTCAATGAAAAGATAGGTTCAACTATGTGAGTTGAATGCACACATCACAAAGAAGTTTCCCAGAATGCTTCTGTGTAGTTTTTATGTAAAGATATTTCCTTTCTCAAATAGGCCTCAAAGTCCTGTAAATATGCACTTCCGGATTCTACAAAAGAGTGTTTCAAAGCTGCTCAATCGAAGGAAAATTTCAACTCTTTGTGATGTATGCACTCATCACAAAGTAGTTTCTGTGAATGCTTCTGTGTAGTTTTTATGTGAAGATATTTCCTTTTTCACAACTCCAAATATCCACTTCCAGATTCTACAAAAAGAGAGTTTCAAAACTGCTCAATCAAGAGATAGGTTCAACCCTGTGAGTTGAATGCACACATCAGAAAAAAGTTTCTGAAAATGCTTCTGTGTAGTTTTTATGTGAAGGTATTTCCTTTTCCAACATAGGCCTCAAAGTGATCAAATTATCCACCTGAAGATTCTACAAAAAGTGTGTTTCCAAACTGTTCAATGAAAAGAAAGGTTCAACCCTGTGAGATGAATGCACACATCACAAGGAAGTTTCTCAGAATGGTTCTGTGTAGTTTTTATGTGAAGATGTTTCCCTTTACATGATAGGCCTCAAAGGGCTCCAAATATCCAGTTGAAGATTATACAAAAAGAGTGTGTCCAAACTGCTGAATCAAAAGAAAAGTTCAGCTCTGTGAGATAAAAGTACACATCACAAAGAAGTTTCTCAGAATGCTTCTGTGTAGTTTTTATGTGAAGATGTTTCCTTTTCCACCATAGGCCGCCAAGGTCTCCAAGTATCCACTTTCAGATTCTACAAAAAAAGAGATTCAAAAGTGCTCAATCAAAAGATAGATTCAAAACTGTGAGTTAAATGCACACATAACAATGAAGTTTCTCAGAATACTTCTGTGTAGTTTTTATGTGAAGATATTTCCTTTTACACAATACGCCTCAAAGCACTAAAAATATCCACTTGCAGATTCTACAAAAATAGTGTTTTAAAACTGCTCAATCAAAAGAAAGTTTCAACTCTGTGAGGTGAATGCCCACATCACAAAGAAGTTTCTTAGATTGTTTATGTGTAGTTTTTATGTGAAGATATTTACTTTTCCACTGTCGGCCTCAAAGTGCTCCAAATATCAACTTATAGACTCGCAAAAACAGTGTTTCAAAACCGCTTAATGAAAAACTAGGTTCATCTCTGTGAGATGAAGGCACACATCACAAAGAAGTTTCTCAGAATGCTTCTGTGTAGTTTTTATGGGAAGATAATTCCTGTTCCAAAATAGGCCTCAAAGCCCTCCAGATATCCACTTGCAGACTCTACAAAAAGTGTGTTTCATAACTGTTCAGTCAAAGAAATTTTCAACTCTGTGTGGTGAATGGACTCATCACAAAGTAGTTTCTCAGAATGCTTCTGTGTAGTTTTTTTGGGAAGATATTTCCTTTATCACAAGAGGCCACAAAGGGCTCCTAATATCCACTTGCAGATTCTACAAAAAGAGAGATTCAAAACTGCTCAATCAAAAGATAGGTTCAGCTCTGTGTGATTAATGCACTCATCACAAAGAAGTTTCTCAGAATGCTTCTGTGCAGTTTTTATGTGAAGATACATGCTTTTCCACAATAGTCCTCAAAGTGCTCCAAATTTCCACTTGCAGATTTTATAAAAAGATTGTTTCAAAAGTGCTCAATCATAAGATAGGTTCAACTCTGTAAGATGAATGCACACATCAAAAAGAAGTTTCTCAGAATGCTTCTATGTAGTTTTTACTTGAAGATATTTCCTTTTCCACCTTATGCTGTAAAGGGCTCCAAATATCCACTTGTAGATTCTTCAAAAAGAGAGATTCAAAACTGCTCAATCAAAAGATAGATTTAACTACGTGAGTTGAATGCACATATCTTAAAGATGTGTCTCAGAATGCTTCTGTCAGAAAGCTTCTGTGCAGTTTTTATTGGAAGATATTTCCTTTTCCTCTATAGGCTGCGAAGGGCTACATATATCCACTTGCAGATTCTACAAACAGAGAGATTCAAAACTGCTCAATCAAAAGATAGGTTCAACCTTGTGAGTTGAATGCACACATCACAAAGTAGTTTCTCAGAATGCTTCTGTGTATTTTTTATGTGAAGATATTTACTTTTCCACAATAGGCCTCAAAGAGCTCCAAATATCCACTTGTAGATACACAAAAAGAGTGTTTCAAAACTTCTCAATCAAAGGAAAGGTTCAACTCTTTGAGATGAATGCGCCCATCACAAAGAAGTTTCTCAGAATGCCTCTGTGTAGTTTTTATTTGAAGATATTTGCTTTTCCGCAGTAGGCCTCAAAGCACTCCAAATATCCAGTTGCAGATTCTACAAAAATAGTGTTTCAAAAGTGCTCAATCAAACAAAAGTTCAACTCTGTGAGATGAATGCACACATCACAAAGAAGTTTCTGAGAATGCTTCTGTGTAGTTTTTATATGAAGATATTTCCTTTTCCACAATAAACCTCAAAGTGCTCCAAATATCCACTTGCAGATTCTACAAAGAGAGTGTTTCAAAACTGCTCAATCATAAGATAGGTTCCACACAGTGAGATGAATGCACAAATAACAAAGAAGTTTCTCAGAATGCATCTGTGTTGTTTTTATTTTTAGATGTTTCCTTTTACTGCATAGGCTGCAAAGGGCTCAAAATATCCACCTGCAGATTCTACAAAAAGAGAGATTCAAAACTGCTCCATCAAAAGAAAGGCTCAACTCTGTGAGATGAATGCACACATCACAAAGAAGTTTCTCAGAATGCTTCTGTGTAGTTTTCATGTGAAGATATTGCTTTTCCACAGTAGCCCTCAAACCGCTCCAAATATCCACTTGCAGATTCTTCAAAAGCAGTGTTTCAAAACAGCTCAATCAAAATAAACGTTCAACTCTGTGAAATGAATGCACTCATCACAAAGAAGTTTCTCAGAATTCTTCTGTGCAGTTTTTATGTGAAATTATTTCCTTTTCCACCACAGGCTGCAAAGGGCTCCAAATATCCACTTGCAGATTCTACAATAAGAGAGATTGAAAACTGCACAATCAAAAGATAGGTTCAACTCTCCTAGTTGAATGCACACAGCACAAAGAATTTTCTCAGAATGCTTCTGTGTAGTTTTCTTTGGAAGATATTTCCTTTTCCACCATAGGACCCAAACTCTCTAAATATCCACTAGCAGATTCTACAAAAAGAGTGTTTCCAAACTGCTCAGTCAAAAGAAAGGTTCAACTCTGTGAGATGAATGCAAACATCGCCTAGAAGTTTCTCAGAATGCTTCTGTGTAGTTTTTATGTGAAGATATTTTCTTTTCCTAAATAGTCCTCAAAGCACCGCAAATATCCACTTGCAGATTCTACAAAAAGAATGTTCCAAAGCTGCTCAATCAAAAGAAAGGTTCAATTCTGTGAGATGAATTCA
The DNA here is from genome assembly GCF_000001405.40 of Homo sapiens. Classification (NCBI taxonomy): domain Eukaryota; kingdom Metazoa; phylum Chordata; class Mammalia; order Primates; family Hominidae; genus Homo; species Homo sapiens. The sequence continues at coordinate 17,201 of NT_187450.1, forward strand.
CACATCACAAAGCAGTTTCTCAGAATGCTTCTGTGTAGTTTTTATATGAAGATACTTGTTTTTCCACAGTAGACCTCCAAGCGCTCAAAATATCCACTTGCAGATTCTACAAAAACAGTGTTTCATAACTGCTAAATTGAAAGAAATGTTCAACTATTTGAGATGAATGTACACATCACAAAGGAGTTTCTCAGAATGCTTCTGTGTAATTTTTATGTGAAGATATTTCCTTTTCCACAATAGGCCACAAAGCGCTCAAAATATCCATGTGCTGATTCTACAAAAACAGAGTTTCAAAACTGCTCAATCATAAGATAGGTTCAACTCTGTGAGATGAATGCTGACATAACAAAGATGTTTCTCAGAATGTTTCTGTGTAGTTTTTATTTGAAGATATTTCCTTTTCCAAAATAGGCAGCAAAGGGCTCCAAATATCCACTTGCAGATTCTGCAAAAAGAGAAATTCAAAACTCCTCAATCAAAAAACAGGTTCAACTCTGTGAGTTGAATGCACACATCACAAATACGTTTCTCAGAATGCTTCTGTGTAGTTCTTATGTGAAGATATTTCCTTTTACACAGGAGACCTCAAAGGCCTCCACATATCCACTTGCAGATTCTACAAAAAGTGTGTTGCAAAACTGCTCAATCAAAAGAAAGGTTCAACTCTGTGAGATGAATGCACACATCGAAAAGAAGATTCTCAGAATGCTTCTTTGTAGTTTTTACGTGAAGATATTTGCTTTTCCACAGTAGGCCTCAAAATACTCCAAATATCCAATTGCAGATTCTACAAAGAGAGTGTTTCCAAACTGCTAAATCATAAGATAGGTTCAACTCTGTGAGATGAATGCACACATCACAAAGAAGTTTCTCAGAATGCTTCTGTGTAGTTTTTATGTGAAGATATTTCCCTTTACACAATGGGCTTCAAAGTGCTCCAAATATCCACTTGCAGATTCAACAAAAAGAGTGTTTCAAAACTGCTCGGTCATAAGATAGGATAAATTCTATGAAATGAATGCATACATCACAAACAAGTTTCTCAGAATGCTTCTGTGTAGTTTTTATTTGAAGATATTTCCTTTTCCACGCTAGGCTGCAAAGGGCTCCAGATATCCACTTGCAGATTCTAGAAACAGAGAGATTCAAAACTGCCCAATCAAAGGATAGGTTCAACTCCATAAGATGAATGCACACATCACAAAGAACTTTCTCAGAATGCTTTTGCATAGTTTTTATGTGAAGATATTTCCTTTTCCACAATGGCATCAAAGCGCTCCATATATCCACTTGCAGATTCTACAAAAAGAGTTTTTCAAAACTGCACTGTCAAAAGAAAAGTTCAACTCTGTGAGATGAATGCCCACATCACTAAGAAGTTTCTCAGAAGGCTTCTGTGTATTTTTTATGTGAAGATATTTGCTTTTCCAAAGTAGACCCCAAAGTGCTCCAAATATGCACTTGCAGATTCTTCAACAAGACTGTTTCGAAACTGCTCAATCAAAAGAAGTGTTCAACTCTGTTTGATGAATGCACTCATCACAAAGATGTTTCTCAGAATGCTTCTGTGAAGTTTTTATGTGAAGATATTTCCTTTTCCACCATAGGCCACAAAGGGCTCAAAATATCCACTTGCAGATTTTACAGAAAGAGAGATTCAAAACTGCTCAATCAGAAGGTATGTTGAAATCTGTGAGACGAATGCACTCATCACAAAGAAGTTTCTCAGTATGCTTCTGTGTAGTTTTTATGTGAAGATATATCCTTTTCCACAAAAAGCCTCAAAACGCTCCAAATACCCACTTGCAGATTCTACAAAGGGAGTGTTTCAAAACAGCTAAATCATAAGATAGGTTCAATTCTGTGAGATGAATGCACACATCCCAAAGAAGTTTCTCAGAATGCTTCTGTGTAGTTTTTATGTTAAGATATTTCCTTTTCCACAATAGGCTTGAAAGCGCTCCAATTATCCACTTTCAGATTCTACAAAAAGAATGTTTCAGAACTGATCAATCATAAGATAGGTTCAACTCTGCGAGATGAATGCACACATCACAAAGATATTTATCAGAAGGATTCTGTGTAGTTTTTATCCGAAGATACTTGCTTTTCCACAGATGGCCTCAAAGCACTCCAAATATCCACTTGCAGATTCAATAAAAACAGTGTTTCAAAACTGCTGAATCAAAAGAAAGGTTCAACTCTGTGAGATGAATGCACGCATCACAAAGAAGTTTCTCAGAATGCTTCTGTGTAGTTTTTAATTGAAGGTATTTCCTTTTCCTCCATGGGCTGCAAAGGGCTCCAAATATCCACTTGCAGCTTCTACAAAAAGAGAGATTCAAAACTGCTCAATCAAAAGATAAGTTCACCTCTGTGAGTCTAATGCACACATCACAAAGTAGTTTCTCAGAATGCTTCTGTGTAGTTTTTATGTGTAGATATTTCGTTTTCCACAATAGACCTCAAAGCTTTCCAAATATCCACTTGCAGATTCTACAAAAAGAGGGTTGCAAAACTGCTCATTCAACGGAAATTTCAACTCTTTTAGATGAATGCACACATCACAAAGAAATTACTCAGAATGCTTCTGTGTAGTTTTTATGTGAAGATATTTGCTTTTCCATAGTAGGCCTCAAAGTGCTCCAATATCCACTTGTAGGTTTTACGAAAACAGTGTTTCAAAACTGTCCAATCAAAGGAAAGTATCAACTCTGTGAGATGAATGCACACATCATGAAGAAGTTTCTCAGAATACTTCCATATAATTTTAATGTGAAGACATTTGCCTTTCCACCGGAGGCCTCAAAGCACTCCAAATATCCACTTGCAGATTCTACAAAGCGAATGTTTCAAATCTGCTCAATCATAAGATAGGTTCAACTCTGTGATATGAAGGCACACATCACGAAGAAGTTTCTCAGTATGCGTCTCTGTAGTGTTTACTAGAAGATATTTCCTTATCGTCCATAGGCCACAAAGTGCTCCAAATATCCACTTGCAGATTCTAGAAAAACAGAGATTCAAAGCTGCTCAATCAAAAGATAGGTTCAAGTCTGCGAGTTGAATGCACACATCACAAAGAAGTTTCTCAGAATGCTTCTGTGTAGTTTTTATGTGAAGATATTTCATTTTCCACAATAGGCCTCAAAGCACTCCAAATATCCACTTGCAGATTCTACAAAAAGAGTTTTCAAAACTTCTCAATCAAAACGAAAGTTCAACTCTGTGAGATGAATGCACACTTCACACAGAAGTTTCTCAAAATGCTTCTGCGTAGTTTCTATTTGGAGATATTTCCTTTTCCAATGTAGGCCACAAAGGGCTCCAAATATCCACTTGCAGATTCTACAAAAAAAGTGTTTCAAAAGTGCACAATCAAAAGAAAGGTGCAACTCTGTGAGATGAATGCACACATCACAAAGAAGTTTCACAGAATTCTTCTGTGTAGTTTTTATGTGAAGATATTTCCTTTTCCAAAACAGGCCTGAAAGCCCTCCAATTATCAACTTTCAGATTCTACAAAGAGAGTGTTTCAAAACTGCTCAATCATAAGATAGGTTCAAATCTATGAGATGAATGCACACATCACAGAGAAGTTTCTTAGAATTCTTCTGTGTAGTATTTATTTGAAGATATTTCCTTTTCCTCTGTAGGCCGCAAAGAGCTTCAAATATCCACTTGCAGATTATACAAAAAGAGAAATTCAAAACTGCTCAATCAAAAGATAGGTTCAACTCAGTGATTTGAATGCACACATCACAAACGAGTTTCTTTGAATGCTTCTGTGTAGTTTTTATGTAAAGATATGTCCTTTTCCATAATAGGCCTAAAAGGGCTCCAAATATCCAGTTGCAGACTCTACAAAAAGAGAGATTCAAAACTGCTCAATCAAAACAAACTTTCAACTCTGTGGGATGAATGCACACATCACAAAGAAGTTTCTCAGAATGCGTCTATGTAGTTTTTACATGAAGATATTTGCTTTTCCACAGTTGACCTCAAAGCGGCCTATACAGATTCTATACAAACAGTGTTTCAAAACTGCTCAATCAAAAGGAAGGTTCAACTCTGCTCAATGAATACCCACATCACAAAGTAGTTTCTCAGAATGCTTCTAGTAGTTTTTATGTGAAGATATTTCCTTTTACACAATAAGTCACAACGCGCTCAAAATATCCACCTGAAGTTTCTGCAAAGAGAGTGTTTCAAAACTGCTCAATAATAAGATAGATTCATCTGTGTGAGATGAATGCACACATCACAAATAAGTTTCTCAGAATGCTTCTGTGTAGTTTTTATTTGAAGATATTTCCTTTACCTCCATAGGCCACAAAGGGCTCCAAATATCCACTTCCAGATTCTACAAGAAGAGAGATTAAAAACTTCACAATCAAAAGATAGGTTCAACTCTGTGAGTTGAATGCACACATCACAAAGTAGTTTCTCAGGAAGCTTCTGTGTATTTTTTTTGTTAAGATATTTCCTTTTCAACAATAGGACTCAAAACACTGCAAATATCTACTTTCATATTATACAAAAAGAGTGTTTCAAAACTGCTCAATCAAAATAAAGTTTCAACTCTGTGAGATGAATGCAGACATCACAAAGAAGTATCTCAGAATGCTTCTGTGTAGTTTTTATGTAAAGATATTTGCTTTTCCACAGTAGGACTCAAAGCGCTCCAAATTTCCATTGCAGATACTACAAAAACAGGGTTTCAAAAGTGCTCAATCAAAAGAAAGTTTCAACTCTCTGAGATGAATGCACACATCACAAAGAAGTTTCTGTGAATGCTTCTGTGTAATTTCTATGTGAAGACATTTCTTTGCCACAATAGGCCTCCAAGCTCTCCAAGTATACACTTGCAGATTTTACAAAGAGAGTTTTTCAAAACTGCTCAATCATAAGATAGGTTCAACTCTGTGAGATGAATGCATACAGCACAACGAAGTTTCTCAGAATGATTCTGTGTAGTTTTTATGTGAAGATATTTGATTTTCCACAGTAGGCCTCAAAGCGCTCCAAATATCCCCTTGCAGATTCTACAAAAACAGTGTTTTAGAACTGCTGAAATATACGTTAGGTTCAACTCTGTGAGATGAATGCACGCATCACAAAGAAGTTTCTCAGAATGTTTCTGTGTAGTTTTCATGTGAAGATATTTCCTTTTCCTCCATAGGATGCAAAGGGCTCCAAATATCCAATTGCTGATTCTACAAAAAGAGAGATTCAAAACTGCTCAATCAAAAGATTAGTTCAACAATGTGAGTTGAATGCACACATCACAAAGATGTTTCTCAGAATGCTTCTGTGTAGTTTTTATGTGAAGATGTTTCCTTTTCCACTATAGGCCTCAAAGCGCTCAAGTATCCACGTGTAGATTCTACAAAAAGAGTGTTTCAAAACTGTTCAATCAAAAGAAAGGTTCAATTCTGTGAGATGAATGCATACATCACAAAGAATTTTCTCAGAATGATTCTGCGTAGTTTATATTTGAAGATATTTCCTTTTCCAACGTAGGTCTTAAAGAGCTCCAAATATCCACTTGAAGATTCTACAAAAGAGAGATTCAAAACTGCTCAATAAAAAGATATGTTCAACTCTATGAGTTGAATGCACTCATCACAAAGAAGTTTATCAGAATACTTCTGAGTAGTTGTTATGTGAAGATATTTCCTTTTCTACCATATGCCGCAAAGGGCTCCAAATATCCACTTGCACATTCTACAAAAAGTGAGATTCAAAACTGCTCAATCAGAAGACGGGTTCAACTCTGTGTGTTGAATGCACACATCGCAAAGAAGTTTCTCAGAATGCTTCTGTGTAGTTTTTATTGGAAGATATTTCCTTTACCATAATAGGTCTCAAAGCGCTCCAAATATCTACTTGCAATTTCTAAAAAAAGAGTGTTTAAAAACTGCTCAATCAAAAGAAAGGTTCAAATTTCTGAGATGAATGTACACGTCACACAGAAGTTTCTGAGAATGCTTCTGTGTAGTTTTTATTGGAAGATATTTCCTTTTCCTCCATATGTCAGAAAGGGCTCCAAATGTCCACTTGCAGATTCTACAAAAAGACAGATTCAAAACTGCTCAATGAAAAGAGAGGTTCAACACTCTGAGTTGAATACACACATCAATAATAAGTTTCTCAGAATGCTTCTGTATAGTATTTATGTGAAGATATTTCCTTTTCCACAATAAGCCTCAAAGCACTCCAAATATCCACTTGCAGATACTAGAAAGAGAGTGTTTCAAAACTGCTCAATCATAAGATAGGTTCAACCCTGTGAGATGAATGCACACATCACAAAGAAGTTTTTCAGAATGCTTCTGTGTAGTTTTTATGTGAAGATACTTGCTTTTCCGCAGTGAGCCTCAAAACCCTGCAAATACTGACTTGCAGATTCTACAAGAACAGTGTTTGAAAACTGCTGAATCAAAAGAAAGTTGGAATTTCGTGTGATGAATGCATACATCACAAAGAAGTTTCTCAGAATGCTTCTGTGTAGTTTTTATGTGAAGCTATTTCTTTGCCATAGTAGGCCTCAAAGCACTCCAAGTATCCACTTGCAGATTCTACAAAGAGAGTGTTTCAAAACTGCTTAATCATAAGATAGGTTCAACTCTGTGAGACGAAAACAAACATCACAAAGAAGTTTCTCAGAATACCTCTGTGTAGTTCTTATTTGAAGGTATTTCCTTTTCCTTCGTAGGTGGCATAGGGCTCCAATTATCCACTTGCAGATTCTACAAAAAAAGAGATGCAAAACTGCTTAATCAAAAGATAGGTTCAACTCTGTGAGTTGAATGCAAACATCACAAAGATGTGTCTCAGAATGCTTCTCTGTAGTTTTTATGTGAACATATTTCCTTTTCCACAATAGGCCTCAAAGTGCTCCAAATATCCACTTGCAGATACTACAAAAAGAGTGTTTCAAAACTGCTCAATGAAAAGAAAGGTTCAACTCTGTGAGATGAATGCACACATCACAAAGAAATTTCTCAATATGCTTCTGTGCAGTTTTTATGTGAACATATATGCTTTTCCACCGTAGGCCTCCAAGGGCTCCATATATCCACTTGCAGATTCTACAAAAACAGTGTTTCAAAACTGCTCAATCAAAATAAATGTTGAACACTGTGAGATTAATCCACACATCACAAAGAAGTTTCTCAGAATGTTTCTGTGTAGTTTTTATGTGAAGATATTTCCTTTCCCACAGTAGGCCTCAAAGCACTCCAAATATCCACTTGCAGATTCTAGAAAGAGAGTGTTTCAACACTGCTCAGTCATAAGATAGGTTCAACCCTGTGAGCTGAATGCACGCATCACAAAGAAGTGTCTCAGAATTCTTCTGACTAGTTTTTATATGAAGATATTTCCTTTTCCACCATAGGCCTTAAAGCGCTACAAATGTACACTTGCATATCCTACAAAAAGTGTATTTCCTAACTGGTCCATCAAAAGAATGGTTCAAATCTGGGAGATGAATGCACACATAACAAAGAAGTCTTTCAGATTGCTTCTGTCTAGATTTTATGTGATGATATTTCCTTTCTACCATAGGCCACAAAGCATTCCAAATGTCCACTTGCAGATACTACAAAAAGAGTGTTTCCAAACTGCTTCATCAAAAGAAATGTTCAACTCTGTGAGATGAACACAATCATCACAAAGAAGTTTGTCAGAATTCTTCTGTCTAGTTTTTATATGAAGATACTTCCTTTTCCACCTTAGGCCTAAAGGTGCTCACAATGTCCACTTGCAGATTCTACAAAAAGAGTATTTCAAAACTGTTCCACCAAAAGAAAGATTCAACTCTGAGAGATGAATGCACACATCACAAAGAAGTTTCTCAGAATGTTTCTGCGTAGTTTTTATGTGAAGATATTTCCTTTTGCACTACAGGCCTCAAAGCACTCTAAATGTCCACTTGCAGATTCTACAAAAGAGAGTTTCAAAACTACTCAATGAAAATAAAGGTTTAACTCTTTGAGATGAATGCACACATCACAAAGAATTTTCTGAGATTGCTTTTGTCTAGATTTTAAGTGAAGATACTTCCTTTCTACAATAGCCCACAAAGCGATCCAAATGTCATTTGTAGATTCTACAAAAAGAGTGTTTCCAAACTGCTGATTCAAAAGAAAGGTTCATCTTTGTGAGAAAGGCATAACACATCAAAAAAAGTTTCTTAGAATTATTCTGTCTAGTTTTTATGTGAAGATATGTCCTTTTCCACCAAAGGCCTCAAAAAGCTCCAAATGTCCACTTGCAGATTCTACAAAAAGAGAGTTTCAAAACTGCACAATCAAAAGAAAGTGTTAACTCTGAGATGAACGCACACATCACAAAGAAGTTTCTCAGATTGCTTCTGTCTGGATTTTATGTGAAGGTATTTCCTTTTCTACAATAGGCTGCAAATCGCTCCAAATATCCACTTGCAGATTCTACAAAAAGAGTGTTTCCAAACTGCTCAATCAAAAGAAAATTTCAATTCTGTGAGATGAACACACACAACACAAAGAAGTTTCTCAGAATTCCTCTGTCTAGTTTTTATGTGAAGATATTTCCTTTTCCACCATAGGAGTCAAAACTCTGCAAATGTCCACATGCAGATTCTACAAAAAGAATGTTTCCAACCTGCTCAATCGAAAGAAAGTTCAACTCTGTGAGATGAACGCACACATCACAGAGTAATTTGTCAGAATTCTTCTGTGTAGTTTCTATTTGAAGATATTACCTTTTCCACCATAGGCCTCAAAGTGCTCCAAATATCCACTTTCAGATTCTGCAAAAAGAGAGTTTCAGAACTGCTCTATCAAAAGAAAAGTTCAACTCTGTGAGATGGATGCACACATCCCAAAGAAATTTCTCAGATTGCTTTTGTCTAGATTTCATGTGAAGATATTTCCTTTTATACCATAGGCCAGAAAGCACTCCAAATGTCCATTTGCAGATTCTACAAAAAGACAGTTTCCAAAGTGTTCAATCAAAAGAAAAGTTCAACTCTGTAAGATGAACGCACACATCACAAAGAAGTTTCTCAGATCGCTTCTGTATAGATTTTATGTGAAGATATTTCCTTTTTTACCATAGGCCACAAGGTGCTACAAATGTCCACTTGCAGATACTACAAAAAGAGCGTTTAAAAATTGCTCAATCAAAAGAAAGGTTCACCTCTGTGAGAATAACGCACACATCACAAAGAAGTTTCTCATAATTCTTCTGTCTAGTTTTTATGTGAAGATATTTCCTTTTCCACAATAGGCGTTAAAGAGCTCCAAATGTCCACTTGCAGATTCTACAAAAAGAGACTTTAAAAACTGCTCAACCAAAACAAAGGTTAAACTCTGTGAATGAATGCACACAACACAAAGAAGTTTCTCAGATTGCTTCTGTCTAGATTTTATGTGAAGATATTTTCTTTTCTACCATAAGTTGCAAATCTCTCCAAATTTCTACTTGTAGATTCTACAAAAAGAGTGTGTCCAAACTGCTCAATAAAAAGGAAGGTTCAACTCTGTGAGATGAATGCACACATCACAAAGAAGTTTCTCAGAATTCTTCTGTCTAGTTTTTATGTGAGGATATTTCCTTTTCCAGCATCAGCCACAAAGCGCTCCAAATGTCCACTTGCAGATTCTACAAAAAGAGAGTTTCAATACTGCTCAATCAACAGAAAGTTTTAACTCTGTAAGATGAACGCACACATCACGAAGAAGTTTCTCAGATTGCTTTTGTCTAGATTTTATGTGAAGATATACCTTTTCTACCATAGACCGCAAAGTGCTCCAAATGTCCATTTGCAGATTCTACAAAAACATTGATTCCAAACTGCTCTATCAAAAGAACGGTTCAAATCTGTGAGATGAACGCACACATCAACAAGCAGTTTCTCAGAATTCTTCTCTCTAGTTTTTATGTGAAGATATTTCCTTTTCCACCATAGGCCTCAAAGCGCTCCAAATGTCCACTTGCAGATTCTACAAAAAGAGAGTTTCAAAACTATTCTATCAAAAGAAGGGTTTCAGCCTGTGAGATGAATGCACACATCACAAAGCAGTTTCTCAGATTGCTTCTGTCTAGATTTTATGTGAAGATATTTCCTTTTCTACCATAGGCCACAAAGCTTTCCAAATATCCACTTGCAGATTCTACAAAAAGAGTGTTTCCAAACTGTTCAATCAAAAGAAAGTTTCAACTCTTTGAGATGAACGCACACATCACAAAGAAGTTTCTCGGAATTCTTCTGCCTAGTTTCTATGTGAAGACATTTCCTTTACCACCATATTCCTCAAAGAGCTCCAAATGTCCACTTGTAGATTTTAAAAAAAGAGTTTCATAAATGCTCAATCAAAAGAAAGTTTTAACTCTGTGAGATGAATGCTGACATCACAAAGAAGTTTCTCAGATTGCTTCTGTCTAGATTTTATGTTAAGATATTTCCTTTTCTACTGAAGACTGCAAAGCGCACCTAATGCCCACTTGCAGATTCTGCAAAAAGAGTGTTTCCAAACTGCTCAATGAAAAGAAAGGTTCAGCTCTGTGAGAAGAACGTACACATCACAATGTAGATTCTCAGAATTCTTTTGTCTAGTTTTTATATGAACGTATCTCGGTTTCTACCATAGGCTTCAAAGTGTTCCAAATGTCCACTTGCAGAATCTACAAAAAGAGAGATTCAAAACTGCTTAAGCAAACATATGATTAATTTTGTGAGATGCATGCACACATCACAAAGAAGTTTCTCAGATTGCTTATGTCTACATTTAAGGTGAAGATATTTTCTTTTCTACCAGAGGAAGCAAAGCGCTTCAAATGTCCACTTGCAGATTCTACAAAAAGAGTGTTTCAAAACTGCTCAATGAAAAGAAAGGTTCAATCCTGTGAGATGAATGCACACATCACAAAGAAGTTTCTCAGAATTCTTCTGTCTGGTTTTTATGTGAAGATATTTCCTTTTCCACCATAGGCCTCAAAACACTCCAAATGTCCACTTGAAGATTCTACAAAAAGAGATTTCAAAACTGCTCAAACAAAACTTTAACTCTGTGAGATGAATGCACACATCACAAAGTAGTTTCTCAGATTGTTTCTGTCTAGATTTTATGTGAAGATATTTCCTTTTCTACCATAGTCTGCAAAGCACTCCAAATATCCACTTCCAGATTCTACAAAAAGAGTGTTTCCAAACTGCTGAGTCAAAATAAAGGTTCAACTCTGTGGGATGTAAGCACAAATCACGAAGAAGTTTCTCAGAATTATTCTGCCTCGTTTTTGTGTGAAGATATTTCCTTTTCCACCATAGGCCTCAAAGTGCTCCAAATGTCCACTTGCAGATTGTACAAAAAGAGAGTTTCAAAACTGCTCAATCAAAAGACAGCTTTAACTCTGTGAGATGAATGCACACATCACAAAGAAGTTTCTCAGATTGCTTCTGCCTAGATTTTATGTGAAGATATTTCCTTTTCTACTATAGGCCATAAAGCATTCCGAAAGTCCACTTGCGGATTCTACAAAAAGAGTGTTTCCAAACTACTCAATCAAAAGAACGTTTCAACTCTGTGAGATGAAGGCACACATCACAAAGAAGTTTCTCGGAATTCTTCTGTCTAATTTTTATGTGAAGACATTTCATTCTCCACCATAGGCCTCATGGCTGTCGAAATGTCCACTTGCAGATTCTACAAAAAGAGTATTTCAAAACTGGTCCATCAAAAGAAAGTTTCAACTCTGTGAGATGAATGCACCCATCACGAAGAAGTTTCTCAGAATGTTTCCATCTAGGTTTATGTGAAGATATTTCCTTTTCCACCACAGGTCTCAAAGCGCTCCAAATGTCCACATGAAGATTCTACAAAAAGAGAGTTTCAAAACTGCTCAGTCAAACAAAGGGTTAACTCTGTGAGATGAATGCACACATCACAAAGAAGTTTCTCAGATTGCTTCTGTCTAGATTTTATGTGAAGGTATTTCCTTTTCTACCATAGGCCACCAAGTGCTCCAAATGCTCACTGCAGATTCTACAAAAACAGTGTTTCCAAACTGCTCAATCCAAAGAAAGTTTCAACTCTGTGAGATGAACATACACATCACAAAGAAGTTTCTCAGAATGCTTCTGTATAGTTTTTTATGTGAAGATATTTCCTTTTCTACCATAGGCCACAAAGCGCTCCAAATGTCCACTTGCAGATTCTACAAAAAGAGTGTTTCCAAACTGCTCAATGAAAAGAAAGGTTCAATCCTGTGAGATTAACGCACACATCACAAAGAAGTTTCTTGGAATTCTACTGTCTAGTTTTTCTGTTAAGATATTTCCTTTTCCACCATAGGCCTCAAATTGCTCCAAATGTCCACTTGCAGATTCTAGAAAAATAGACTTTCAAAACTTCTCAATGAAAAGAAAAGTTTATCTCTGTGGGATGAATGCACACATCACAAAGTAGTTTTTCAGATTGCCTCTGTCTAGATTTTGTGTGAAGATATTTGCTTTTCCACCATAGACCTCAAAGCGTTCCAAATGTCCTCTTGCAGGTGGTACAAAAATAGAGTTTCAAAACTGCTTCATCAAAACAACGGTTTAATTCTGTCAGATGAATGTACACATCACAAAGAAGTTTCTCAGATTGCTTCTGTCTAGATTTTATGTGAAGATATTTCATTTTCTGTCATAGGCCGTAAAGCGCTCCAAATGTCCAGTTGCAGATTCTACAAAAAGAGTCTTTCCAAACTGCTCACTCAAAAGAAAGTTTCAACTCTGTGAGATGAACGCATACATCACAAAGAAGTTTCTCAGAATTATTCTGTCTAGTTTTTATGGGAAGATATTTCCATTTCAACCATTGGCCTCAATGCGCTCCAAATGTCCACTTGCAGATTCTACAAAAAGAGAGTTTGAAAACTGCTAAATCAAAAGAAATATTGAAGTCTGTGAGATGACTGTGCATATCACAAAGAAATTTCTCAGATTACTTCTGTCTAGATTTTATGTGAATATATTCCCTTTTTTACCAAAGGCCGCAAAGCGCTCGAAATGACAATTTGCAGATTCTACAAAAAGTGTGTTTGCAAACTGCTAAATCAAAAGGAATGTTCAACTCTGTGAGATGAACACACACATCACAAAGTTGTTTCTCAGAATATTTCTGCCTAGTTTATTTTTATTTATTTTTATTTTTTATTATTATACTTTAAGTTTTAGGGTACATGTGCACATCGTTCAGGTTAGTTACATATATATACATGTGCCATGCTGGTGCGCTGCACCCACTAACTCGTCATCTAGTATTAGGTGTATCTCCCAATGCTATCCCTCCCCCCTCCCCCCACCCCACAACAGTCCCCAGAGTGTGATGTTCCCCTTCCTGTGTCCATGTGTTCTCATTGTTCAATTCCCACTTATGAGTGAGAATATGCGGTGTTTGGTTTTTTGTTCTTGTGATAGTTTACTGAGAATGACGATTTTCAATTTCATCCATGTCCCTACAAAGGACATGAACTCATCATTTTTTATGGCTGCATAGTATTCCATGGTGTATACGTGCCACATTTTCTTAATCCAGTCTATCATTGTTGGACATTTGGCTTGGTTCCAAGTCTTTGCTATTGTGAATAATGCCGCAATAAACATACGTGTGCATGTGTCTTTATAGCAGCATGATTTGTAGTCCTTTGGGCATATACCCAGTAAGGGGATGGCTGGGTCAAATGGTATTTCCAGTTCTAGATCCCTGAGGAATTGCCACACTGACTTCCACAATGGTTGAACTAGTTTACAGTCCCACCAACAGTGTAAAAGTGTTCCTATTTCTCCACATCCTC
>NT_187451.1:0-6354 GCF_000001405.40 Homo sapiens
GTTGATCCTATCTTTTGATACAGCAGTTTTGAAACTCTCTTTTTGTAGAATCTTCAAGTAGATATCTGAAGCCATTTTTGGCCTAAGGTGGAAAAAAAAATCTTCACATAAAAACTACATAGAAGCATTCTGAGAAACTTTTTTGTGATGTTTGCATTCAACTCACAGTGTTGAAGCAGTCTCTTGATAGAGCAGTTTTGAAACACTCTTTTTGTAGAATCTGCAAGTGGATATTTGGAGCGCTTTGAGTCCTATTGTGGAAAAGGCAATATCTTCACATAAAAACTACACAGAAGCATTCTGAGAAACTTCTTTGTGATGTGTGCCTTCAACTCACAGAGTTGAAGCTATCTTTTGATGAAGCAGTTTTGAAACTCCCATTTTGTAGGATCTGAAAGTGGATATTTCGAGCCCTTTATGCCCTTTTGTGGAAAAGGAAATATCTTCACATAAAAGCTGCCCAGAAGCATTCTGAGAAACTTCTTTTTGATGTATGCTTTCATCTCAGAGTGTTGAACATTTCTTTTGATTGAGCAGTTTGGGATCCCTCTTTTTGTAGAATCTGCAAGTGGAAGTTTGGAGCCCTTTGAGGCCTATGGTGGAAAAGGAAATATCTTCAAATAAAAACTACACAAAAACATTCTGAGAAACTGCTTTGTGTTGTGTGCATTCATCTCACAAGGTTGAACCTATCTTATGATTGAGCAGTTTCAAAACACTCTTTTCGTAGAATCTGAAGTGGATATTTGGAGCGCCTTGTTGCCTACAGTGGAGAATCAAATGTCTTCACATAAAAACAAGTACAGAAGCATTCTCAGAACCTTCTTTGTGATGTATGCATTCATCCCATGGAGTTTAACTTTTCTTTTGATTGAGCACTTTTGAAACACTCTTTTTGAAGACTCTGCAAGTAGATATTTGGAGGCCTTTGATGCCTATTTTGGAAAAGGAAATATCTTCACATAAAAACTACACAGAGGCATTCTGAGAAACTTCTTTGTGATTTGTGCAGTCAACTAATGGAGTTGAAACTTCCTTTTTATAGAGCAGTGTTGAAGCGATCTTTTTGAAGAATTAGCAAGTGGATATTTGGAGAGCTTTGAGGCCTATGGTGGAAAAGGAAATATCTTCAAATAAAAACTATGCAGAAACATTCTGAGAAACTTCTTTGTGATGTGTGCATTCAACTCACAGGGGAGAGCCTATCTTTTGATTGAGCCGTTTTGAATCTCTTTTTTTGTATAAATCTGCAGTGGGTATTAAGAGCCCTTTGTGGTCCATGGTGGAAAAGAAAATATCTTCAAATAAAAACTACACAGAAGCATTCTGAGGAACTTCTTTGTGAGATGTGCACTCAACTCACAGAGTTGAACCTATCTTTTGATTGAGCAGTTTTTAATCTCTCTTTTTGTAGAAGCAGCATGTGGATATTTGAAGACCTTTGTGGCCTATGGTGGAAAACGAAATATCTTCAAATAAAAACTACACAGAAGTAGTCTGAGAAACTTCTTTGTGATGTGTGCATTCATCTCACAGAGTTGAACCTTTATTTTGACTGAGCAGTTTTGAGACAATCTTTCCATATAACCTGGAAGTGAATATTTGGAGGGCTTTGAGTTCTATTTTGGAAATGGAGATATCTTCATATGAAAACTACATAGAAGCATTCTGAGAAACATCTGTGTGAGGTGTGCACTGAAGTCACATTGTTGAACCTATCTTTTGATTCAGCAGTTTTGAATCTATCTTTTTGCAGAATCTGCGAGTGGATATTTGGAGCGCTTTGAGGCGTACTGTGGAAAATCAAATATCTTCACATAAAAACTACACAGAAGCATTCTGAGAAACTTCTTTGTGATGTGTGCATTCATCTCACAGAGTTGAATGTCTCTGTTGATTGAGCAGTTTTGAAACACTCTTTTTGTAGAATCTGAAAGTGGATATTTGGAGCTCATTGGGGCCTACTGTGGAAAAACAAATATCTTCACATAAAAACTACAAAGAAGCATTCTGAGAAACTTCTTTGTGATCTGTGCATTAATCTCACTGAGTTGAATCTTTCTTTTGATACAGCAGTTTTGAAACACTATTTTTTTAGAATCTGTAGGTGGATATTTGGAGCCTTTTGAGGCCTATAGTGGAGAAGGAAATATCTTCACATAAAAACTACGCAGAAGCATTCTGAGAAACTACTTTGTGATGTGTGCATTCATCTCACAGAGTAGAACCTTTCTTTTGATTGAGCAGTTTTGAAACACTCTTTTTGTAGAATCTGAAAGTGGATATTTAGAGCAATTTGAGGCTTATTGTGGAAAGAGAAATATCTTCAAATAAAAACTACCCAGAAGCATTCTGAGAAACTTATTTGTGATGTGTGCATTCAACTCACAGTGTTGAACCTATCTGTTGATTGAGCAGTTTAGAATCTCTCTTTTTATAGAATCTGCAAGTGAATATTTGGAGCCCTATTTCACCCTATAGTGGAAAAGGAAATATCTTCAAATAGAAACTACACAGAAGCATTCAGGGAACCTAATTTCTGATGAGTGCATTCATCACAGAGTTGAACCTTTGTTTTGATTTAGCAGTTTTGAGGCAATCTTTCTGTAGAATCTGGAAGTAAATATTTGGAGGGCTTTGAATTCTGTTTTGGAGAAGGAGATATCTTCATATAAAAACTACACAGAAGCTTTCTGAGAAACACCTTTGTGAGGTGTGCATTGAAGTCACAGAGTTGAACCTATCTTTTGATTCAGCAGATTTTAATCTCTCTTTCTGCAGAATCTGTGAGTGGATATTTGGAGCGCTTTGAGGCCTACTGTGGAAAATCAAAAATCTTCACATAAAAACTACACAGAAGCATTTTGAGAAACTTCTTTGTGAGGTGTGCATTCAACTCACAGAGTTGAACTTATCTTTTCATTGAGAACTTTTGTATCTCTTTTTTGGTAGAATCTGCAAGTGGATATTTGGAGCTCTTTGCACCCTATGGTGGAAAAGGAAATATCTTCACATAAAAACTACACAGAAGCATTCAGAGAAACTTCTTTGTGATGAATGCTCTTTGCACCCTATGGTGGAAAAGGAAATATCTTCACATAAAAACTACACAGAAGCATTCAGAGAAACTTCTTTGTGATGAATGCATTCCTCACAGAGTTGAACCTTTCTTTTTATTGAGTAGTACTGAAACCCTCTTTTTGCAGAATCACCAATTGGATATTTGGAGAGCTTTGAGGCCTGTTTTGGGAAATGAAATATCTTCAAATTAAAACTACACAGAAGCATTCTGAGAAACTTCTTTGTGATGTGTGCATTCAACTCTCAGGGTTGCTCCTATCTTATGATTGAGCAGTTTTGAAACACTCGTTTTGTAGAATCTGCAAGTGGATATTTAGAGCGATTTGAGGCCTATTGTGGAAAAGAAAATATCTTGACATAAAAACTACACAGAAGCATTCTGAGAAACTTCTTTGGGAAGTGTGCATTCAACTAACAGTGTGGAACCTATCTTTTGATTGAGCAGCCTAGAATCTCTTTTTGTAGAATCTGCAAGTGGATATTTGGAGCCCCATTTCGCCCTATGGTGAAAAACGAAACATCTTCACATAAAAAATACACAGAAGCATTCTGAGAAACTTCTTTGTGATGTTTGCATTCAACTCACAGAGTCGAACCTATCTTTTGATAGAGCAGTTTTGAATCTCTCTTTTTGCAGAATCTGCAAGTGGATATTTGGAAAGCTTTGAGGCCTATTGTGGAAAAGGAAATATATTCACATAAAAACTACAGAGAAGCATTCTGAGAAACTTCTTTGTGAGGTATGGATTCAACCCACAGAGTTGGACTTATCTTTTCATTGAGCAGTTTTGAATGTCTCTTTTTGTAGAATCTACAAGTGGATATTTGGAGCCCTTTGCAACTATGTTGGAAAAGGAAATAACTTCAAATAACAACTACACAGAAGCCTTCAGATAAACTTCTTTGTGATGAGTGCATTCATCCCACAGAGTTGAACCTTCCTTTTTATTGAGCAGTTTTGAAACACTATTTTTGCAGAATCAGCAAGTGGATATTTGGAGCACTTTGAGGCCTACTGTGGAAAAGCAAATATCTTCACCTAAAGACTACACGGAAGCATTATGAGAAACTTCCTTGTGATGTGTGCATTCATCTCACAGAGTTGAACCTTTCTTTTGATTGAGCAGTTTTGAATCTCTCTTTTGGTAGAATCTCTAATTGGATATTTGGAGTGATTTGAGGCCTATTGCGGAGAAGGAAATATCTTCACATAAAATCTGTACAGAAGAATTCTGAGAAACTTCTCTGTGATGTGTGCTTTCAACTCACATAGTTGAACCTATCTATTGATTGAAACTCTTTGTAGATTCGGCAAGTGGATATTTGGAGCCCTTTGCAACCTATGGTGGAAAAGGAAATATCTTCAAATAAATAATGCGCAGAAGCATTCAAAGAAACTTCTTTGTGGTGAGTGCATTCATCACAGAGAGTTGAATCTTTCCTTTGATTGAGCAGTTTTGAAACACTCTTTTTGCAGGATCTGCAGGCAGATATTTTAGAACTTTGAGGCCAAATGTGGAAAAGGAAACATCTTCACATAAAAACTACACAGAAGCATTCTGAGAAGCTTCTTTGTGAGGTGTGCATTCAACTCTCAGTGTTGAACGTATCATCTTTTGATTCGGCAGTTTTGAATATCTGTTTTGTAGGATCTGCTACTGGATATTTGGAGCCCTTTGCAGCCAATGGAGGAAAAGGACATATCATCAAATAGAAACTACATAGAAGCATTCTGAGAAACGTCTTTGTGTTGTGTGCATTCATCTCACAGGGTTGAACACTTCCTTTCATGGAGCAGTTTTGAAACAGTATTTTTCCAGAATCTGCAAGTGGATATTTGGAGAGCTTTGAGACATGTTGTGGAAAAGGAAATATCTTCAAATAAAAACTACACAGAAGTATTCAGAGAAACTTCTTTATGATGAGTGCATTCATCACAGACTTGAAACTTTCTTTTGATTGAGCAATTTTGAAACTCTCCTTTTGTAGAAGATGGAAGTGGATATTTCAAGGTCTTTGAGGTTTATTTTGGAAACGGAAATATCCTCACATAAAAACTACATAGAAGCATTCTGACAAACTTCTCTGTTATGTGTTCATTCAACTCACAGTGTTGAACGAATTTTTTGATTGAGCAGTTTTCAATCCCTCCGTTTGTAGAATGTGGAAGTGGATATTTGGAGCTCTTTGCACCCTGTGTTGGAAAAGGAAATATCTTCAAATAAAAACTACACATAAGCATTCTGAAAAACTTCTTTGTGTTAAGTGCATTCATCACACAGAGTTGAAAGTTTCTTTTGATTGAGCAGTTTTGAAACACTCTTTTCGTAGAATCTGGAAGTGGATATTTGGAGGGCTTTGAGGCCTATTTTGGAAAAGGAAATATCTTAACATAAAAACTGCACAGAATTATTCAGAGAAACTCCTTTGTTATGTGTGCATTCAACACACAGAGTTGAGCCTATCTTTTGATTGAGCAGTTTTGAGTCTCTTTTTGCAGAATCTGCAAGTGGATATTTGTATCGCTTTGAGGCCCACTGTGGAAAAGCAAATATTTTCAAATAAAGAGTACACAGAAGCATTCTGAGAAACTTTGTTGTGAGGTGTGCATTCAACTCACAGAGTTAAACCCATCTTTTGATTGAGCAGTTTTGAATCTCTCTTTTTGCAGAATCTGAAGTGGATATTTGGAGTGCTTTGTGGCCTATTGTGGAAAAGGAAATATCTTCACATAAACACTACACAGAGGCATTCTGAGAAACTTCTTTGTGATGTGTGCATTCAACTGACAGAGTTGAACCTATCTTTTGATTGGGCAGTTTTGAATCTCTCTTTTTGTAGAATCTCTAATTGGATATTTGGAGCAATTTCAGGCCTATTGTGGAAAAGGAAATATCTTCACATAAAAACTACACAGAGGCATTCTGAGAAACTTCTTTGTGATGTGTGCATTCAACTGACAGATTTGAACCTATCTTTTGATTGAGCAGTTTTGAATCTCTCTTTTTGTAGCATCTGCAGGTGGAATTTTGGAGCCCTTTGCAGCCTACGTTGGAAAAGGAAATATCTTCAAATAAAAACTACACAGAATCATTCTGGGAAACATCTTTGTGATGAGTGTATTCATCACAAAGGGTTGAATCTTTCTATTGACTGAGTAATTTGGAAACACTTTTTTTGTAGAACCTGGAAGTGGAAATTTGACGAGCTTTGTGGTCTATTTTGGAAAAGAAATATCTTCAGATTAAAACTACACAGAAGCTTTCTGGGAAA
>NT_187451.1:9872-25848 GCF_000001405.40 Homo sapiens
CCATGGTCCTCAAGCGCTCCAAATGTAAACTTGCAGACTCTACAAAAAGAGAGCTTTGAATCTCCTCAATCAAAGGAAAGTTTTAACTCTTTGAGGTTAATGCACACATCACAAAGGAGTTTCTCAGATTGCTTCTGTCTAGATTTTATGTGAGGATCTTACCTTTTCTGACATAGGCCGCAAAGCGCTCCAAATGTCCACTTGCAGAATCTACTAAAAGATTGTTTCCAAAATGCTGAATCAAAAGAAAGTTTCAACTCGGTGAGATGTACCTACACATAACAGTGAAGTTTCTCAGAATTCTTCTGTCTAGTTTTTATGTGAAAATATTTCGTTTTCCACCATTAGTCCTCAAAGCACTTCAAATGTCCACTTGCATATTCTACAGAAAGAGAGCCTGAAAACTCCTCAATGAAAAGAAATATTTAACACTGTGACATAAGTGCGCACATCACAAAGTAGTTTCTCAGATTTCTTCTGTCTAGATTTTATGTGAAGGTATTTCCTTTTCTAACATAGGCCACAAGGTGCTCCAAATGTCCACTTGCAGATTCTACAAAAAGAGTGTTTCCAAACTGCTCTATCAAAAGTAAGGTTCAACTCTGTGACATGAACGCACACATCACAAGGAAGTTTCTCAGAATTCTTCTGTCTAGTATTTATGTGACGATATTTCCTTTTCCACCGTAGACCTCAAAGCGCTCCAAATATCTACTTGCAGATTCTACAGACAGAGAATTTCAAAACTGCTCAATCAAAAGAAAGGTTTAACTCTGTGTGATGAATGCACACATCTCAAAGAAGTTTCTCAGAATGCTTCTGTATAGATTTTATGTGAAGATATTTCCTTTTCTATATAGGCCGCAAAGCGCTCCAAACGTCCACTTGCAGAATCTAGAAAAAGAGTGTTTCCAAACTGCTGAATCAAAAGAAAGTTTCACTCTGATGGAAGTTTCTTTTACTGTGCAGAAGCTCTTTAGTTTAATTAGATCCCATTTGTCAATTTTGGCTTTCGTTGCCATTGCTTTTGGTGTTTTAGACATGAAGTACTTGCCCATGCCTATGTCCTGAATGGTAATGCCTAGGTTTTCTTCTAGGGTTTTTATGGTTTTAGGTCCAAAGTTTAAGTCTTTAATCCGTCTTGAATTAATTTTTGTATAAGGTGTAAGGAAGGAATCCAGTTTCAGCTTTCTACATATGGCTAGCCTGTTTTCCCAGCACCATTTATTAAATAGGGAATCCTTTCTCCATTGCTTGTTTTTCTCAGGTTTGTCAAAGATCAGATAGTTGTAGATATACAGCGTTATTTCTGAGGGCTCTGTTCTGTTCCATTCATATATATCTCTGTTTTGCTACCAAAACCATGCTGTTTGGGTTACTGTAGCCTTGTGGTATAGTTTGAAGTCAGGTGGCATGATGCCTCCTGCTTTGCTCTTTTGGCCTAGGATTGATTTGTGATGCGGGCTCTTTTTTGGTTCCATATGAACTTTAAAGTAGTTTTTTTTCCAATTTTGTGAGGAAAGTCATCGGTAGCTTGATGGGGATGGCATTGAATCTATAAATTACTTTTGGCAGTATGGCCATTTTCACGATATTGATTCTTCCTACCCATGAGGATGGAATGTTCTTCCATTTGTTTGTATCCTCTTTTATTTCATGAGCAATAGTTTGTAGTTCTCCTTGAAGAGGTCCTCCACATCCCTTGTAAATTGGATTCCTAGGTATTTTATTCTCTTTGTAGCAATTGTGAATGGGAGTTCACTCATGATTTGGCTCTCTGTTTTTCTGTTATTGGTGTGTAAGAATGCTTGTGATTTTTGTACATTGAGTTTGTATCTTGAGACTTTGCTGAAGTTGCTTATCAACTTAAGGAGATTTTGGGCTGAGACTATCAGGTTTTCTAGATATACAATCATGTCGTCTGCAAACAGGGACAATTTGACTTCCTCTTTTCCTGAATGAATACCTTTTGTTTCCTTCTCCTGCCTAATTGCCCTGGCCAGAACTTCCAACTCTATGTTGAATAGAAGTGGTGAGAGAGGGCATCCCTGTCTTGTGCCAGTTTTCAAAGGGAATGTTTCCAGTGTTTACCCATTCAGTATGATATTGGCTGTGGGTTTGTCATAGATAGCTCTTATTATTTTGAGATACGTCCTATCAATACATAATTTATTGAGAGTTTTTAGCATGAAGCGTTGTTGAATGTTGTCAAAGGCTTTTTCTGCATCTGTTGAGATAATAGTGTGGTTTTTGTCTTTGGTTTTGTTTAAATACTGGATTACATTTATTGATTTGCAACCCACAAAATAGGAGAAAGTTTTTGCAACCTACTCATCTGACAAAGGGCTAATATCCAGAATCTACAATGAACTCAAATTTACAAGGAAAAAAAACAACACCATCAAAAAGATGGTGAAGTACATGAACAGACACTTCTCAAAAGAATACATTTATGCAGGCAAAAAACACATGAAGAAATGCTCACTATCACTGGCCATCAGAGAAATGCAAATCAAAACCACAATGAGATATCATCTCACACCTGTTAGAATGGCAATCATTAAAAAGTCAGGAAACAACAGGTGCTGCAGGGGATGTGAAGAAATAGGAACACTTTTACACTGTTGGTAGGACTGTAAACATGTTCATCCATTGTGGCAGTCCATGTGGCGATTCCTCAGGGATCTAGAACTAGAATTAACATTTGACCCAGCCATCCCATTACTGGGTATATACCCAAAGGACTGTAAATCATGCTGCTATAAAGACACATGCATGCGTATGTTTATTGCAGCACTATTCACAATAACAAAGACTTGGAACCAACTCAGATGTCCAACAATGATAGACTGGATTAAGAAAATGTGGCACATATACACCATGGAATACTATGCAGCCACAAAAAAAGATGAGTTTATGTCCTTTGTAGGGACATGATGAAATTGGAAATCATCATTCTCAGTAAACTATCGCAAGAACAAAAAACCAAACACCGCATATTCTCACTCATAGGTGGGAATTGAACAATGAGATCACATGGACACAGGAAGGGGAAGATCACACTCTGGGGACTGTTGTGGGGTCGGGGGAGGGGGGAGAAATAGCATTGGGAGATATAACTAATGCTAGATGACGACTTAGTGGGTGCAGCGCACCAGCATGTCACATGTATACATATGTAACTAATTTGAATATTGTGCACAGGTACCCTAAAACATAAAGTATACTAATAAAAAAAGGAAAGGTTCAACTCTGTGAGATGAATGCACACATCACAAAGAAGTTACTCAGATTGCTTCTGTCTAGATTTTATGTGAAGATATTTCCTTTTCTACCATAGGTCCCAAAGCGCTCCAAATGTGCACTTGCAGATTCTACAAAAAGAGTGTTTCCAAGCTGCTCAATCAAAAGAAAGCTTCAACTTTGTGAGATGAACGCCCACATCACAAAGAAGTTTCTAAGAATTCTTCCGTCTAGTTTTTATGTGGAGATATTTCCTTTCCCACTATAGGCCTCAAATCGCTCCAAATGTCCAATTGCAGATTCTACAAACAGAGTTTCAAAACACCTCAATCATACAGACACTTCTCAAAAGAAGACATTTATGCAGCCAAAAAACACATGAAGAAATGCTAATCATCACTGGCCATCAGAGAAATGCAAATCAAAACCACTATGAGATATCATCTCACACCAGTTAGAATGGCAATCATTAAAAAGTCAGGAAACAACAGGTGCTGGAGAGGATGTGGAGAAATAGGAACACTTTTACACTGTTGGTGGGACTGTAAACTAGTTCAACCATTGTGGAAGTCAGTGTGGCGATTCCTCAGGGATCTAGAACTAGAAATACCATTTGACCCAGCCATCCCATTACTGGCTATATACCCAAAGGACTATAAATCATGCTGCTATAAAGACACATGCACACGTATGTTTATTGCGGCACTATTCACAATAGCAAAGACTTGGAACCAACCCAAATGTCCAACAATGATAGACTGGATTAAGAAAATGTGGCACATATACGTCATGGAATACTATGCAGCCATAAAAAATGATGAGTTCATGTCCTTTGTAGGGACATGGATGAAATTGGAAACCATCATTCTCAGTAAACTATCGCAAGAACAAAAAACCAAACACCGCATATTCTCACTCATAGGTGGGAATTGAACAATGAGATCACATGGACACAGGAAGGGGAATATCACACTCTGGGGACTGTGGTGGGGTCGGGGGAGGGGGGAGGGATAGCATTGGGAGATATACCTAATGCTAGATGACACGTTAGTGGGTGCAGCGCACCAGCATGGCACATGTATACATATGTAACCTGCACAATGTGCACATGTACCCTAAAACTTAGAGTATAATAAAAAAAAAATAAAAAAAAAATAAAAAAAAAGAATTAAAAAAAAAAAAACACCTCAATCAAAAGAAATGTTTAACTCTCTGAGATGAATGCACACATCATAAAAAGTTTCTCAGATTGCCTCTGTCTAGATTTTATGTGAAGATATTTCCTTTTCTGCCATAGGCCACAAATCGCTCCAAGTGTCTACATGCAGTTTCCAAACTGTTCAATCAAAAGAAAAGTTCAACTCTGTGAGATGAAAGCACATATCACAAAGAAGTTTCCCAGATTACTTCTGTCTGGATTGTATGTGAAGGTATTTCCTTTTCTACCATAGGCCACAAAGTGTTCCAAATGTCCAATTGCAGATACTACAAAAAGGGTGTTTCCAATCTGCTCATTCAAAAGAAAGGTTTAACTCTGTGAGATAAATGCACACATCACAAAGAAGTTTCTGAGAATGCTTCTGTGTAGTTTTTATGTGAAGATATTTCCTTTTCTACCATAAGCCACAAAGCGCTCCAAATGTCCACTTGCAGATTCTACAAAAAGAGGGTTTCCAAACTGCTCCATCTAAAGAAAGCTTCAAATCTGTGAGATAAATGCACACATCACAAAGAAGTTTCTCAGAGTTCTTCTGTTTAGTTTTTATGTGAAGATATTTCATTTTCCACCATAGTCCTCAAGGCACTAGAAATGTCCAGTTGCAGATTCTACAAAAAGAGTACCTCAAAACTAGTTCATCAAAAGAAAGTTTCAACTCTGGGAGATGAAGGCACACATTACAAAGAAGTTTCTCAGAATGTTTCTATGTAGTTTTTATGTGAAGATATTTCCTTTTTCAACATAGGCCTCAAAGCACTCCAAATGCCCACTTGCAGATTCTACAAAAAGAGGGTTTCAAAACTGCTCAATCAACACAAAATTTTAACACTGTGAGATGAAAGCACACACCACAAAGTTTTTCAGATTGCTTGTGTCTAGATTTTATGGGAAGATATTTCCTTTTCTACCATAGCCTGCTAAGCGCTCCAAATATCCACTTCCAGATTCTACAAAGAGTGTTTCCAAACTGCATAATCAAAAGAAAGGTTCAGCTCTGTGATATAAACGTACACATCACAAAGCAGTTTCTCACCATTCTTCTGTCTAGTTTTTATATGATGATACTTCCTACTCCACCATAGGCCTCAAAGCGCTCCAAGTGTCCACTTGCAGATCCTACAGAAAGAGAGTTTCAGAACGGCTCAATCAAAAGAAAGGTTTAATTCTGTGAGGTGAATGCACACATCAAAAAGAAGTTTCTCAAATTGCTTCGGTCTAGATTTTATGTGAAGATATTTCCTTTTTTAACATAGGCCAAAAAGCGCTTCAAATGTCCACTTGCAGATTCTACAAAAAGAGAGTTTCAAAACTGCTCCATCAAAAGAAAGACTCAACTATGTGAGGTGAATGCCCACATCACAAAGATGTTTCTCAGATTGATTCTGTGTAGATTTTATGTTAAGATATTTCATTCTTTTTACCATAGGCCACAAATCGCTCAAAATGTTCACTTGCAGATTCTAAAAAAAGAGTGTTTCGAAACTGCTCTATCAAAAGAAAAGTTCACCTCTGTGAGATGAACGCACACATCAAGAAGAAGTTCGTCAGAATTCTTCTGTCTCGTTTTCATATGAAGATATTTCCTTTTCCATCACAGGCCTCAAAGACCTCCAAATGTCCACGTGTAGATTCTACAAAAGAGAGTTTCAAAACTGCTCAATCAAAAGAAATGTTTAAATCTGTGAGATGAATGCACACATTACAAAGAAGTTTCTCAGATTGCTTCAGTCTAGATTTTATGTGAAAATATTTCCTTTTCTATCATAGGCCATAAAGCGCTCCAAATGTCCACTTGCCGATTCTACATAAAGAGTGTTTCCAAACAGCTGAATCAAAAGAAAGTTTCAATTCCCTGAGATGAAGACACACATCACAAAACAGTTTCTCAGAATTCTTCTGTCTAGTTTTTATGTGAAGATATTTCCTTTCAACCATACGGCTCAAGAAGCTCGAAAGTTCCACTTGCACATTCTATAAAAGAGTATTTCAAAACTAGTCCTTTGAAAGAATGTTTCAACTCTGGGAGATGAATGCACATATCACAAAGAAGTTTGTCAGAATGCTTCTATCAAGATTTTATGTGAAGACATTTCTTTTTCTACCGTAGGCTTAAAAATGCTCCAAATATCCACTTGCAGATTCTATAAAAAGAGAGTTTCAAAACTGCTCGATCAAAAGAAAATGTTAACTCTGTGAGATTAATGCACACATCACAAAGAAGTTTCTCAGATTGCTTCTTTCTAGATTTGATGTGTAGATATTCCCTTTTTACCATTGGCCGCAAAGCGCACCAAATTTTCATTTGCAGATTCTACAAAAAGAGTTTTTACAAAATGCTCAATCAAAAGAAAGGTTCAACTCCGTGAGATGAATGCACACATCACAAAGAAGTTTCCCAGAATTCTTCTGTCTAGTTTTTATGTGAAGATATTTCCTTTCCCACCACAGGTCTCAAAGTGCTCCAACTGTACACTTGCAGATTCTACGAAAACAGATTTTCAAAACTGCTCAACCAAAAGAAAGGTTTAACTCTCTTAGATGAATGCACACATCACTAGCAAGTTTCTCAGGTTGCTTCTGTCTGGATTTTATGTGAAGATATTTTCTTTCCTACCATAGGCCCCAAAGAACTCCAAATGTCCACTTGCAGATCCACAAAAAGAGTGTTTCCAAACTGCTCAATCAAAAGAAAGGTTCAACTCTGTGAGATGAATGCACGCATTACAAAGAAGTTTCTCAGAATTCTTCTGTCTAGTTTTTATGTGAAGATATTTTCATTTCCACTAGAGGCCTTAAAGCCCTCCAAATATCCACTTGCAGATTCTCCAAAAAGAGAGTTTCAAAACTTCTCAATCAAAAGAAAGCTTTAACACTCTGAGGTGAATGCACACATCACAAAGAAGTTTCTCTGATTTTTTACGTCCAGATTTTATGTGAAGATAGTCCCTTTGCTACCATAGGTGACAAAGCACTCCAAATGTCCACTTGCAGATTCTACAAAAAGACAGTTTCCAAACTTCTCAATCTAAAGAATGGTTCAACTCTGTGAGACGAACGCACACTTCACATAGAAGTTGCTCAGAATACTTCTCTCTAGTTTTTTTGTTGAGGATATTTCAT
The DNA here is from genome assembly GCF_000001405.40 of Homo sapiens. Lineage (NCBI taxonomy): Eukaryota > Metazoa > Chordata > Mammalia > Primates > Hominidae > Homo > Homo sapiens. The sequence continues at coordinate 17,455 of NT_187451.1, forward strand.
TTTCCACAATAGGCCTCAAGGTGGTCGAAATGTCAAATTGCAAATTCTACAAAAAGATTATTTCAAAAGTGGTCCATCAATAGAAATGTTCAACTCTGGGAAATGAATGCACACATCACCAAGAGGTTTCTCAGAATGTTTCTATCTAGTTTTTATGTGAATATATTTTCTTTTGCAACATTGGCCTCGAGGTGCTCCAAATGTCCACTTGCAGATTTTATAAAAAGAGAGTTTTAAAACTGCTCAATCAAAAGAAATGTTTAACTCTGTGAGATGAATGTACACAACAAAAAGACGTTCCTCAGATTGCTTCTTTCTAGATTTAATGTGAAGATAATTCCTTTTCCACCACAGGCCACAAAACTCTCCTAATGTCCACTGGCAGATTCTACAAAAAGAGTGTTTCCAATCTGCTCAATCAAAAGAAAGGTTCAACTCTGTCAGATGAACGCTGGCATCACAAAGAATTTTCTCAAAATTCTTCTGTCTACTTTTTATGTGAAGATATTTCCTTTTCTTCCACAGGCCTAAAAGCACTCCAAATGTCCACTTGCAGATTCTCCAAAAAGAGACTGCCAAAACTGCTAAATCAAAAGGAAGGTTTAACTCTGTGAGATGAATGCACACATCACAAAAAGTTTCTCAGATTGCTTCTGTCTAGATTTTATGTGAAGTTATTTCCTTTTCTACCATAGAACCCGAAGCGCTTTTAATGTCCCCTTGCAGATTCTACATAAAGAGTTTTTCAAAACTGCTCAATCAAAAGAAAGGTTCAACTCTGTGAGATGAATGCATGCATCACAAAGAAGTTTCTCAGAATACTTCTGTCTAGTTTTTATGTGAAGATATTTCCTTTTCTACCATAGTTCTCAAAGTGATTAAAATGTCCACTTGCAAATTCTACAAAAAGAGAGTCTCAAAACCGCTCAATCAAAAGAAAGGTTTATCTCTGTGAGATGAATGCACACTTCACAAATAAGTTTCTAAGATTTCTTCTGTCTAGGTTTTATGTGATGATATTTCCTTTTCTACCATACGTAGCAAACCACTCAAAATGTCCACTTGTAGATTCTACAAAAAGAGAGTTTCCAAACTGCTCAATCAGAAGAAAGGTTAACTCTGTGAGATGAAGGCACACATCACAAAAAAGTTTCTCAGAATTCTTCTGTCCAGTTTTAATGTGAAGATATTTCCTTTTGCACCAGAAGCCTCAAGGTAATCGAAATGTGCCCTTGCAGATTCTACAAAAAGAGTAATTCAAAACTGGTCCGTCAAAACAAAGGTTCAACACTAGGAAATAAATGCACACATCACAAAGAAGCTTCTCAGAATGCTTCTATCTAGTTTTTATGTGAAGATATTTCCTTTTCCACCGTAGGCCTCAAAGCGCTCCAAATGTCCACTTGCAGGTTCTGCAAAAAGAGAGTTTCCAAAGTGCTCAATCAAAAGAAACGGTTAACTCTGTGAGATAAATGCACACATCACAAAGAAGTTTCTCAGAATTCTTCTGTCTAGATTTTATGTGAAGATATTTCGTGTTCCACCATAGGCCTCAAGGTGCTTGAAATGTCCACTTTCAGACTCTACAAAAAGTGTATTTCAAAACTGCTTAATCAAAAGAATGGTTTAACACTGTCAGATGTATGCACACATCACAAATAAGTTTCTCAGAATTCTTCTGTCTAGTTTTTATGTGAAGATATTTCTGTTTCCATCATAGACCACAAACGGCTCCAAATGTCCACTTGCAGATACTATATAAAGAGAGTTTGAAAACTCCTCAAACAAAAGAAAGGTTTAACTCTGTGAGATCAATGCACACATCACAAAAGGTTTCTCAGACGGTTTCTGTCTAGATCTTATGTGAAGTTATTTCCTTTTCCACCATAGAACCAAAGCACTCCAAATGTCCCCTTGCAGATTCTACAAAAACAGTGTTTCAAAACTGCTCAATCAGGAGAAAGGTTCAACTCTGTGAGATAAACGCAAGCATCACAAGAAAAGTTTATCAGAATTCTTCTGTTTAGTTTTGATGTGAAGATATTTCATTTTCCACCATAGGACAAAAGGCGCTCGAAATGCCCCCTGGCAGATTCTACAAAAGGAGTATTTCAAACTTGGTCCATCAAAAGAAAGGTTCAACTTATTGAGATGAATGCACACATCACAAAGAAGTTTCTCAGAATTCTTCTGTCTAGTGTTTATGTGAAGATATTTTCTTTTCCACCATAGGCCTCAAGGTGCTCGAAATGTCCACTTGCGGATTCTGCAAAAAGAGTATTTCAAAACTGGTACATCAAAAGAAAGGTTCAACTCATGGAGATGAAGGCACCCATCACAAAGAAGTTTCTCTGAATTCTTCAATCTTGTTTTTATGCGAACACATTTCCTTTTCCACAATAGGCCTCAAAGTGCTCCAAATGTCCACTTGCAGATCCTACAAAAAGAGAGTTTTAAAACTGCTCAATGAAAAGAAAGGTTTAACATTGTGAGATGAATGCAGACATCACAAAGAAGTTTCTCAGATTGCTTCTGTCTAGATTTTATGTTAAGATATTTCCTTCTGTACCATAGGCCTCAAATCGCTCCAAATGTCCACATGCAGATTCTACAAAAAGAGTGTTTCCAAACTGCTCAATCAAACAAAGGTTCAACTCTGTGAGATGAACACACACATTAAAAAGAAGTTTTTCAGAATTCTTCTGTCTAGTTTTTATGTGAACATATTTCCTTTTCAAATTTAGGCCTCTATGTTCTCTCAATGTCCAATTGCAGATTCAACAAAAAGAGAGATTCAAAACTGCTCAATCAAAAGAAAGGCTTCACTCAGTGAGATGAATGCACACGTCACTGAGAAGTTTATATGATTGCTTCTGTCAAGACTTTATGTGAAGATATTTCCTTTTCCACCTTAGGCTTCAAAGTGCTCCCAATGTCCAATTGCAGATTCAACAAAAAGAGAGTTACAAAACTCTCACTCAAAAGAAAGGTATCACTCAGTGAGATGAATGCACACATCACAGAGAAGTTTCTAAGATTGCTTCTCTCAAGATTTTATGTGAAGATATTTCCTTTTCTACTGTAGTCCGCAAAGTGCTCCAAATGTCCAATGGGAGATTTTACAAAAGAGTGTCTCCAAACTGATCAATCAAAATAAAGTTTCAGCTCTGTGAGATGAACGCATGCTTCACAAAGAAGTTACTCAGAATTCCTCTGTCTAGTTTTTATGTGAAGATATTTTTTTTCTACCATAGGCCACAAAGGGCTCTTAATCTCCACTTGCAGGTTCTACAAAAGAGAGTTTCAAAACTGCTCAATCAAAAGAAAGGTTTAACTCTGTGACATGAATGCACACATCACAAATAAGTTTCTCAGATTATTTCTGTCTAGATTTTAAGTGAAGATATATCCTTTTCTACCATAGGCCCCAAAGCACTCCAAATGTCCACTTGCAGATTCTACAAAAAGAGTATTTCAAAACTGGTACATCAAAAGGAAGGTTCAAGTCCTGGAGATGAATGCACACAACACAAAGAAGTTGCTCTGAATGCTTCAATCTTGTTTTTATGTGAAGATATTTCGTATTCCACCATAGGATTCAAAGCACTCCAATTGTCCACTTGCAGATCCTACAAAAAGAGAGTTTTAAAACTGCTTAGTCAAAAGAAATGTTTAACTCTCTGAGATAAAGGCAAATATCACAAAGAAGTTTCTCAGATTGCTTCTGTCTAGATTTTATGTGAAGATAGTTCCTTTTCTACCATGGGCCTCAAATCGCTCCAAAAGTCCACATGCACATTCTACAAAAGATTGTTTCCTAACTGCTCAATCAAAAGAAATGTTCAACTCTGTGAGATGAATGCACACATCACAAAGAAGGTTCTCAGAATTCTTCTGTCTAGTTTTTATGTGAACATATTTCCTTTCACATCTTAGGCCTCAAAGCGCTCCCAATGTCAATTTGCAGATTCAACAAAAAGAAAATTTCAAAACTACTCCATCAAAAGAAAGGTTTCACTCTTTGAGATGAATGCACCCATCACAAAGAAATTTCTCAGATTGCTTCTGTCTAGATTTTCTGTGAATAGATTTCCTTTTCTACCAAAGGCCACAAAGCGCACAAAATGTCCACTGGCAGATCCTACAAAAAAAGAGTTTCAAACTGCACAATCAAAAGATAGTTTCAACTCTGTGATATGACCGCACAAATCACAAAGAAGTTTCTCAAAATTCTTCTGTCTCGTTTTAATGTGAAAGTATTTCTTTTCCCTCTACATGCCTCAAGATGCTCGAAACGTCCACTTGCAGATTCTACAAAAAGAGGATTTCAAAACTGGTCCATTAAAAGAAAGGTTCAACTCTGGGAGATGAATACACACATCATGAAGAAGTTACTCAGAATGCTTCTGTCTAGTTTTTATTGAAGACATTTCGTTTTCCACCATCAGCCTCAAAGCCCTCAAAATATCCACTTGCAGATTACACAAAAAGAGAGTTTCAAAACTGCTCAAACAAAAGAAAGGTTTAACTCTGGAATATGAAGGCACACGTCACAAAGAAGTTTTTCAGATAGTTTCTGTCGAGATTTTAATTGTAGATATTTCCTTTTCTACCATAGGCTTCAAAACGCTCCAAATATCCACTTGCAGATTCTACAGAAAGAGTGTTTCCATACTGTTCAATCAAACAAAGGTTCAACTCTGTCAGATGAATGCACACATAAAAAAGAAGTTTCTCAGAATACTTCTGCCTAGTTTTTATGTGAAGATATTTCCTTTTCCACCTTAGGCCTCAAAGTGCTCCCAATGTCCAATTGCAGATTCAACAAAAAGAGAGTTTCAAAACTGCAGAATCAAAAGAAAGGTTTCACTCAGTGAGATGAATGCACACATCACAGAGAAGTTTCTAAGATTGCTTCTCTCAAGATTTTATGTGAAAATATTTCCCTTTCTGCCGTAGGCTGCAAAGGGCTCCCAATGTCCACTGAGAGATTTTACAAAAGGGTATCTCTAAACTGCTCAATCAAAAAAAAGGTTCAACTCTGTGAGATGAACGCATGCTTCACAAAGAAGTTACTCAGAAGTCTTCTGTCTAGTTTTTATGTGAAGATATTTCGTTTTCCACCATAGGCCTCAAAGGGCTCTTAATCTCCACTTGCAGATTCTACAAAGGAGAGTTTCAAAACTGCTCAATCAAAAGAAAGTTTTAACTCTGTGACATCAATGTACACATCACAAAGAAGTTTCTCAGATTGCTTTTGTCTAGATTTTAAATGAAGATGTGTCCTTTTCTACCATAGGCCCCAATGCGTTCCAAATGTTGAGATGAATGCACACATCACAAAGAAGTTTCTCAGATTGCTTCTGTCTAGATTTTATGTGAAGATATTTCCTTTTGTACCGCAGGCCTCAAATCGCTCCAAATGTCCACATGCAGATTCTCCGAGAGGAGTATTTCCAAACTGCTCAATCAAAAGAAAGGTTCAACTCTGTGAGACGAACGCACACATCATAAAGAAGTTTCTCAGAATTCTTCTGTCTAGTTTTTATGTGAACATATTTCCTTTTCCACCTTAGGCCTCAAAGCACTCCCAATGTCAATTTGCAGATTCCACAAAAAGAAAATTTCAAAACTACTCCATCAAAAGAATGGTTTCACTGTGTGAGATGAATGCACACATCACAAAGAAATTTCTCAGATTGCTTCTGTCTTGATTTTCTGTGAAGAGATTTCCTTTTCTACCTTAGGCCACAAAGCACACCAAATGTCCACTGGCAGATTCTACAAAAAGAGTGTTTCCAAACTGCTCAATCAAAAGAAAGGTTCAACTCTGTGATATGAATGCACAAATCACAAAGAAGTTTCTCAGAATTCTTCTGTCTCATTTTTATGTGAAAGTATTTCTTTTCCCTCTACAGGCCTCAAGGTGCTCATAATGTCCACTTGCAGATTCTACAAAAAGAGTATATCAAAACTGGTCCATTAATAGAAAGGTTCAACTATGGCAGATGAATACACACATCACGAAGTAGTTATTCAGAATGTTTCTATCTAGTGTTTATTGAAGATATTTCCTTTTCCACCATCGGCCTCCAAGCCCTCCAAATGTCCACTTGCAGAATACACATAAAGAGAGTTTCAAAACTGCTAAATCAAAGGAAATGTTTAACTCTGGAATATGAATGCACACGTCGCAAAGAAGTTCTTCAGATAGTTTCTGTCTAGATTTTATGTGTAGATATTTCCTTTTCTACCATAGGCTGCAAAACGCTACAAATATCCACTTGCAGATTCTACAAAAAGAGTGTTTCCATACTGCTGAATCAAACAAAGTTTCAACTCTGTGAGATGAACGCACACATAAAAAAGATGCTTCTCAGAATTCTTCTGTCTAGTTTTTATGTGAAGATATTTCCTTTTCCACGACAGGCCTCAAAGTGCTCCCAATGTCCAATTGCAGATTCAACAAAAAGAGAATTTTAAAACTGCTCAATCAAAAGAAAGGTTTCACTCAGTGAGGTGAATGCACACATCACAGAAGTTTCTAAGATTGCTTCTGTCAAGATTTTATGTGAAGATATTTCCTTTTCTACCATAGGCCTCAAATCGCTCCAAATGTCCACATGCAGATTCTACAAAAAGATTGTTTCCAAACTGCTCAGTCAAAAGAAATGTTCAACTATCTGAGATGAATGCACACATCACAAAGAAGTTTCTCAGAATTCTTCTGTCTAGTTTTTATGTGAACATATTTCCTTTTGCACCTTAGGCCTCAAAGCGCTCCAAATGTCCACTTGCAGATCCTACAAAAAGAGAGTTTTAAAACTGCTCAATCAAAAGAAAGGTTTAACTCTTTGAGATAAATGCACGTATCATTAAGAAGATTCTCAGAATTATTCTGTCTCGTTTTTATGTGAACATATTTCCTTTTCCACCTTAGGCCTCAAAGCGCTCCCAATGTCAATTTGCAGATTCCACAAAAAGAAAATTTCAAAAGTACTCCATCAAAGGAAAGGTTTCACTCTTTCAGATGAATGCACACATCACAAAGAAGTTTCTCAGATTTCTTCTATCAAGATTTTATGTGAAGATACTTCCTTTTCTACCGTAGGCCGCAAAGTGCTCCCAATGTCCACTGGGAGATTTTACAGAAGGGTTTCTCTAAACTGCTCAATCAAAAGAAAGGTTCACCTCTGTGAGATGAATGCATGCTTCACAAAGAAGTTACTCAGAAATCTTCTGTCTAGTTTTTATGTGAAGATATTTCGTTTTCCACCATAGGCCTCAAAGGAGTCTTAATCTCCACAAGCAGATTCTACAAAAGAGTGTTTCAAAACTGCAGAATCAAAAGAAAGGTTTAACTCTGTGACATGAATGCACACATCAGAAAGAAGTTTCTCAGATTGCTTTTGTCTAGATTTTAAATGAAGATATATCCTTTTCTACCATAGGCCCCAACGCGCTCCAAATGTCCACTTGCAGATCCTACAAAAAGAGTATTTCAAAACTGGTAAATCAAAAAGAAGTTTCAACTCTTGGAGATGAATGCACACATCACAAAGAAGTTCATTGAATGCTTCAATCTTGTTTTTATGTGAAGATATTTCCTTCTTCACCATAGGCCTCAAAGCGCTCCAAATGTCCACTTGCAGATCCTACAAAAAGAGTTTCCAAACTGCACAATCAAAAGAAAGTTTCAACCCTGTGATATGAATGCACAAATCACAAAGAAGTTTCTCAAAATTCTTCTGTCTCATTTTAATGTGAAAGTATTTATTTTCCCTCTAGAGGCCTCAAGTTGCTCGAAATGTCCACTTGCAGATTCTACAGAAAGAATGTTTCCATACTGCTCAATCAAACAAAGGTTCAACTCTGTGTGATGAATGCACACATAAAAAAGAAGTTTCGCAGAGTTGTTCTGTCTAGTTTTTATGTGAAGATATTTCCCTTTCCACCTTAGGCCTCAAAGTGCTCCCAATGTCCAATTGCAGATTCAACAAAAAGAGAGTTTCAAAACTGTTCACTCAAAAGAAAGGTTTCACTCAGTGAGATGAATGCACACATCACAGAGAAGTTTCTAAGATTGCTTCTGTCAAGATTTTATGTGAAGATATTTCCTTTTCTACCGTAGGCCATAAAGTGCTCCAAATGTCCACTGGGAGATTTTATAAACGGGTGTCTCCAAACTGCTCAATCAAAAGAAAGGTTCAACTCTGTGAGATGAATGCATGCATCACAAAGAAGTTACTCAGAATTCTTCTGTCTAGTTTTTATGTGAAGATATTTCGTTTTCCACCGTACGCCTCAAAAGGATATTAGTCTCCAATTGCACGTTCTACAAAAGAGAGTTTGAAAACTGCTCAATCAAAAGAAAGGTTTAACTCTGTGACATGA
>NT_187451.1:27103-35680 GCF_000001405.40 Homo sapiens
CAAAGAAGGTTCTCAGAATTCTTCTGTCTAGTTTTTATGTGAACATATTTCCTTTTCCACCTTAGGCCTCAAAGTGCTCCCAATGTCAATTTGCAGATTCCACAAAAAGAAAATTTCAAAACTACTCCATCAAAAGAAAGGTTTCACTCTTTCAGATGAATGCACACATCACAAAGTAGTTTCTCTGATTTCTTCTGTCAAGATTTTATGTGAAGATATTTCCTTTTCTACCGTAGGCCACAAAGTGCTTCCAATGTCCACTGGGAGATTTTACAGAAGGGTGTCTCTAAACTGCTCAATCAAAAGAAAGGTTCAACTCTGTGAGATGAACGCATGCTTCACAAATAAGTTACTCAGAAGTCTTCTGTCTAGTTTTTATGTGAAGATATTTCGTTTTCCACCATAGGCCTCAAAGGGCTCTTAATCTCCACTTGCAGATTCTACAAAAGAGTGTTTCAAAACTGCTGAAACAAAAGAAAGTTTTAACTCTGTGACATGAATGCACACATCACAAAGAAGTTTCTCAGATTGCTTTTGTCTAGATTTTAAATGAAGATATATCCTTTTCTACCATAGGCCCCAAGGCGCTCCAAATGTCCACTTGCAGATTCAACAAAAATAGTATTTCAAAACTGGTACATCAAAAGGAAGTTTCGACTCTTGGAGATGAATGGACACATCACAAAGAAGTTTCTCAGATTACTTCTGTCTAGATTTTAAGTTAAAATATATCCTTTTCTACCATAGGACCCAAGGCACTCCAAATGTCCACTTGCAGATTCTGCAAAAAGAGTGTTTCAAAGCTGGTACATCAAAAGGAAGGTTCAACTCTTGGAGATGAATGCACACATCACAAAAAAGTTTCTCTGAATGCTTCAATCTTGTTTTTATGTGAAGATATTTCCTTTTCCTCCATAGGCCTCAAAGCGCTCCAAATGTCCACTTGCAGATCCTACAAAAAGAGAGTTTCCAAATTGCACAATCAAAAGAAAGTTTCAACTCTGTGATATGAATGCACAAATCACAAAGAAGTTTCTCAAAATTATTCTGTCTCGTTTTAGTGTGAAAGTATTTATTTTCCCTCTACAGCCCTCAAGGTGCTCAAAATGTCCACTTGCAGATTCTACAAAAAGAGTATTTCAAAACTGGTCCATTAAAAGAAAGGTTCAACTCTGTGAGATGAATGCACACATCACAAAGAAGGTTCTCAGAATTCTTCTGTCTAGTTTTTACGTGAACATATTTCCTTTTCCACCTTAAGCCTCAAAGCACTCCCAATGTCAATTTGCAGATTTCACAAAAAGAAAATTTTAAAACTACTCCATCAAAAGAAAGATTTCACTGTGTGAGGTGAATGTACACATCACAGAGAAATTTCTCAGATTGCTTCTGTCTTGATTTTCTGTGAAGACATTTCTTTTTCTACCATAGACTGCAAAGCACTCCACATGTCCACTGGCAGATTCTACAAAAAGAGTGTTTCCAAACTGCTCAATCAAAAGAAAGGTTCAACTCTGTGGTATGAATACACAAATCTCAAAGAAGTTTCACAGAATTCTTCTGTCTCATTTATATTTGAAAGCATTTCTTTCCCACTACAGGCCTCAAGGTGCTCGTAATGTCCAATTGTAGATACTACAAAAAGAGTATTTGAAAACTGGCCCATTAATAGAAAGGTTCAACTATGGGAGGTGAATACACACATCGTGAAGAAGTTATTCAGAATGCTTCTATCTAGTGTTTATTGAAGATATTTCCATTTCCACCATCGGCCTCAAAGCCCTCCAAATGTCCACTTGCAGAATGCACATAAAGAGATTTTCAAAACTGCTAAATCAAAGGAAAGGTTTAACTCTGGGATATGAATGCACACGTCACAAAGAAGTTTTTCGGATAGTTTCTGTCTAGATTTTAAGTGAAGATATTTCCTTTTGTACCATAGGTTGCAAAACGCTCCAAATGTCCACTGGCAGATCCTACAAAAAGAATGTTTCCAAACTGCTCAATCAAAAGAAAGGTTCAACTCTGTGATATGAATACACAAATCACAAAGAAGTTTCTCAGAATTCTTCTGTCTCGTTTTTATGTGAAAGTATTTCCTTTCCCTCTATAGGCCTCAAGGTGTTCGTAATGTCCACTTGCAGATACTACAAAAAGAGTATTTCAAAACTGGTAAATTAATAGAAAGGTTCAACTATGGGAGATGAATACACACATCACGAAGAAGTTATTCAGAATGCTTCCATCTAGTGTTTGTTGAAGCTATTTCCTTTTCCACCATTGGCCTCCAAGCCCTCCAAATGTCCACTTGCAGAATACACATAAAGAGAGTTTCAAAACCGCTAAATCAAAGGAAAGGTTTAACTCTGGAATATGAATACACACGTCACAAAGAAGTTTTTCAGATAGGATCTGTCTAGATTTTATGTGTGGATATTTCCTTTTCTACCATAGGCTGCAAAACGCTCCAAATGTCCACTTGCACATTCTACAAAAAGAGTGTTTCCATACTGCTCAATCAAACAAAGTTTCAACTCTGTGAGATGAACGCACACATAAAAAAGAAGTTTCTCAGAATTCTTCTGTGTAGTTTTTATGTGAGGTTATTTCCTTTTCCACCTTAGGCCTCAAAGTGCTCCCAATGTCCAATTGCAGATTCAACAAAAAGAGAGTTTCAAAACTGCTCACTCAAAAGAAAGGTTTCACTCAGTGAGATAAATGCACACATCACAGAGAAGTTTCTAAGATTGCTTCTGTCAAGATTTTATGTGAAGATATTTCTTTTTCTACCGTAGGTCGCAAAGTGCTCCCAATGTCCACTGGGACATTTTACAAAAGGGTGTCTCCAAACTGCTCAATTAAAAGAAAGGTTCAACTCTGTGAGATGAACGCATGCTTCACAAAGAAGTTACTCAGAATACTTCTGTTTAGTTTTTATGTGAAGATATTTCGTTTTCCACCACAGGCCTCAAAGGGCTATTAATCTCCACTTGCAGGTTCTACAAAAGAGAGTTTCAAAAGTGCTCAATCAAAAGAAAGGTTTGACTCTGTGACACGAATGCACACATCACAGAGAAGTTTCTCAGATTACTTCTGTCTAGATTTTAAGTGAAGATATATCCTTTTCTACCATAGGCCCCAAGGCACTCCAAATGTCCACTTGCAGATTCTACAAAAAGAGAATTTCAAAACTGGTACATCAAAAGGAAGGTTCAACTCTTGGAGATGAATGCACACATCACAAAGAAGTTGCTCTGAATGCTTCAATCTTGTTTTTATGTGAAGATATTTCGTTTTCCACCATAGGATTCAAAGCGCTCCAATTGTCCACTTGCAGATCCTACAAAAAGAGAGTTTTAAAACTGCTTAATCAAAAGAAATATTTAACTCTCTGAGATAAAGGCAAATATCACAAAGAAGTTTCTCAGATTGCTTCTGTCTAGATTTTATGTGAAGATATTTCCCTTTCTACCATAGGCCTCAAATCGCTCCAAATATCCATATGCAGATCCTACAAAAAGTTTGTTTCCAAACTGTTCAATAAAAAGAAATATTCAACTTTGTGAAATGAATGCACACATCATAAAGAATGTTCTCAGAATTCTTCTGTCTAGTTTTTATGTGAACATATTTCCTTTTCCACCTTAGGCCTCAAAGCACTCCTAATGTCAATTTGCAGATTCCACAAAAAGAAAATTTCAAAACTACTCCATCAAAAGAAAGGTTTCACTCTTTGAGATGAATGCACACATCACAAAGAAGTTTCTCAGATTGCTTCTGTCTAGATTTTCTGTGAAGAGATTTCATTTCCTACCATAGGCCACAAAGTGCACCAAATATCCACTGGCAGATTCTACAAAATAGAGTTTCAAACTGCACAATCAAAAGTAAGTTTCTACTCTGTGATATGAATGCACAAATCACAAGTAAGTTTCTCAAAATTCTTCTGTATCCTTTTAATGTGAAAGTATTTCTTTTCCCTCTACAGGCCTCAAGGTGCCCAAAATGTCCAATTGCAGATTCTACAAAAAGAGTATTTCAAAACTGGTCCATTAAAAGAAAGGTTCAACTCTGGGAGATGAAAACACACATAAAGAAGAAGTTATTCAGAATGCTTCTGTCTAGATTTTATTGAAGATATTTCCTTTTCCACCATCAGCCTCAAAGCCCTCAAAATGTCCACTTGCAGATTACACAAAAAGAGAGTTTCAAAATTGGTGAACCAAAAGAAAAGTTTAACTCTGGAATATGAATGCACACGTCACAAAAGGAGTTTTTCAGATAGTTTCTGTCTTGATTTTATGTGTAGATATTTCCTTTACTACCATAGGCTGCAAAACGCTCCAAATGTCCACTTGCAGATTCCACAGAACGAGTGCTTGCATACTGCTCAATCAAACAAAGGTTCAACTCTGTCAGATGAATGCACACATAACAAAGAAGTTTCTCAGAATTCTTCTGTCTAGATTTTATGTGAAGATGTTTCCTTTTCCACCTTAGGCCTCAAAGTGTCCCAGTGTCCAATTGCAGATTCAATAAAAAGAGAGTTTCAAAACTGCTCAATCAAAAGAAAGGTTTCACTCAGTGAGATGAATGCACACATCACAGAGACGTTTCTAAGATTGCTTCTGTCAAGATTTTATGTGAAGATATTTCCTTTTCTACCGTAGGCTGCAATGCGCTCCAAAAGTCCACTGGGAGATTTTACAAAAGGGTGTCTCTAAACTGCTCAATCAAAAGAAAGTTCAACTCTGTGAGATGAACGCATGCTTCACAAAGAAGTTACTCAGTATTCTTCTGTCTAGTTTTTATGTGAAGATATTTCGTTTTCCACCATAGGCCTCAAAGGGCTCTTAATCTCCACTTGAAGATTTTACAAAATAGAATTTCAAAACTGCTCAATCAAAGGAAAGTTTTAACTCTGTGGCATGAATGCACACATCACAAAGAAGTTTCTCAGATTGCTTTTTTCTAGATTTTAAATGAAGATATATCCTTTTCTACCATAGGCCCCAAGGAGCTCCAAATGTCCACTTGCAGATTCTACAAAAAGAGTGTTTCCATACTGCTCAATCAAACAAAGGTTGAACTCTGTCAGATGAATGCACACATCAGAAAGAAGTTTCTCAGAATTCCTCTGTCTAGTTTTTGTGTGATGATATTTCCTTTTCCACCACAGGCCTCAAAGTGCTCCCAATGTCCAATTGCAGATTCAACAAAAAGAGAGTTTCAAAACTGCTCAATCAAAAGAAAGGATTCACTCAGTGAGATGAATGCACACATCACAGAGAGGTTTCTAAGATTGCTTCTGTCAAGATTTTATTTGAAGATATTTCCTTTTCTACTGTAGGCTGCAATGCGCTCCAAATGTCCACTGGGAGATTTTACAAAAGGGTGTCTCCAAACTGCTCAATCAAAAGAAAGGTTCAACTCTGTGAGATGAACGCATGCTTCACAAAGAAGTTAGTCAGAATTCTTCTGTCTAGTTTTCATGGGAAGATATTTCGTTTTCCACCATAGGCCTCAAAGGGTTCTTAATCTCCCCTTGCAGGTTCTACAAAAGAGAGATTCAAAACTGGTCAATCAAAAGAAAGGGTTAACTCTGTCAGATGAATGCCTACATCACAAAGAAGTTCCTCAGATTACTTCTGTCTAGATTTTAAGTGAAGATATATCCTTTTCTACCATAGGCCCCTAGGCGCTCCAAATGTACACTTGCAGATTCTACAAAAAGAGAATTTCAAAACTGGTACATCAAAGGAAGCTTCAACTCTTGGAGATGAATGCACTCATCAGAAAGAAGTTTCTCTGAATGCTTCAATCTTATTTTTATGTGAAGATATTTCCTTTTCCACCATAGGCCTCAAACCGCTCCAAATGTCCACATGCAGATCCTACAAAAAGAGAGTTTTAAAACTGCTCAATCAAAAGAAAGGTTTAACTCTGTGAAATAAATGCACATATCACAAAGAAGTTTCTCAGATTGCTTCTGTCTAGATTTTATGTGAAGATAGTTCCTTTTCTACCATAGGCCTCAAATCGCTCCAAATATCCACATGCAGATTTTGCAAAAAGATTGTTTCCAAACTGCTCAATCAAAAGAAATGTTCAAATCTGTGAGATGAATGCGCACATCACAAAGAAGGTTCTTAGAATTCTTCTGACTAGTTTTTATGTGAACATATTTCCTTTTCCACCTTAGTCCTCAAAGCGCTCCCAATGTCAATTTGTAGATTCCACAAAAAGAAAATTTCAAAACTACTCCATCAAAAGAAAGTTTTCACTCTTTGAGATGAATGCACACATCACAAAGAAGTTTCTCAGATTGCTTCTGTCTAGATTTTCTGTGAAGAGATTTCCTTTTCTACCATAGGCTGCAAAGCACACCAAATGTCCACTGGCAGATTCTACAAAAAGAGAGTTTCCAAACTGCACAATCAAAAGAAAGTTTCAACTCTGTGATATGAACGCACAAATCACAAAGAAGTTTCTCAAAATTCTTCTTTCTCGTTTTAATGTGAAAGTATTTCTTTTCCCTCAACGGGCCTCAAGGTGCTCAAAATGTCCACTTGCAGATTCTACAAAAAGAGGATTTCAAATCTGGTCCATTAAAAGAAAGATTCCAATCTGGGAGATGAATTTACACATCACGAAGAAGTTATTCAGAATGCTTCTGTCTAGTTTTTATTGAAGATATTTCGTTTTCCACCATAGGCCTCAAGGAGCTCCAAACGTCCATTTGCAGATTCCACAAAAAGATTACTTCAAAACTGGTCCATCAAAAGAAATGTTGAACTCTGGGAGATGAATGCACACATCACAAAGAAGTTCCTCAGAATGCTTCTAACTAGTTTTTATCTGAAGATATTTCTTTTCCTCCATAGGCCTCAAAATGCTCCAAATATATTCCTGCAGATTCTGCAGAAAGAGTGTTTCCAAACTGCTCAATAAAAGAAAGATTCAACTCTGTGAGATGAACACACACATCAAAAGGAAGTTTCTCAAAAATCCTCCGTTTAGATTTTATGTGAAGATATTTCCATTTCCGTCATGGGTCTCAATGTGCTTTAAACGTCCACTAGCAGATTCTAAAAAAAAAAAAAAAACTGCTCAATCAAAAAGAAAGGTTTAACTCTATGACATGAATGCACACATCACAATGAAGTTTCTCAGATTGCTTCTGTCTAGATTTTATGTGAAGATATATACTTTCTTATCATAGGTCTCAAAGTGCTCCAAATATCCACTTGCAGATTCTACAAAAGAAAGTATCAAAACTGCTCTTTCAAAGGAAATTATAACTCTGTGAGATGAACGCAGACATCACAGGGAAGTTTCTCAGATTGCTTCTGTCTAGATTTTATGTGAAGATATTTCCTTTTCTACCATAGGCCACAAAGCCCTCCAAATGTCAACTTGCAGATTCTACAAAAACAGTTTCAAAACTGCTCAATCAAAAGAAAGGTTTAACTCTGTGAGATGAATGCACACATCAGAAAGAATTTTCTCTGATTGCTTCTGTCTAGATTTTATGTGAAGATATTTCCTTTTCTACCATAGGCTGCAAAGCGCTCGGAATGTCCACTTGCAGATTGTACAAAAATTATGTTTCCAAACTGCTCAATGAAAAGAAAGTTACAACTCTGTGAGATGAACGGATACATCACAAAGAAGTTTCTCAGATTTCTTCTGTCTAGTTTTTATGTGAAGATATTTCCTTTTCCACTATAGGCCTGAAAACGCTGCACTTGTCTACGTCCAGATTCTACAAAAAGAGAGTTTCAAAACTGCTCAATTAAAAAATGGTTTTAACTCTGTGAGATGAATGCACACATCACAAAGAAGTTCCTCATGTTGCTTCTGTCTAGATTTTTTGTGAAGATATTTCCTTTTCTACCATAGGCTGCAAAGTGCACCAAATGTCCCCTTTCAGATTCAACAAAAAGAGTGTTTCCAAACTGCTCAATCAAAAGAAATGTTCAACTCTGTGAGATGAGTGCACGCATCACAAAGAAGCTTCTCAGAATTCTTCTGTCTAGTTTTTATGTGAAGGTGTTTCATTTTCCACAATAGGCCTCAAGGTGCTCAAAATCTCCACTTGCAGATTCAACAAAAAGAGTATTCCAAAACTGATCCATCAAAAGAAAGCTTAAATTCTGGGAGATGAATGCACACATCATGAAGAAGTTTCTCAGATTTCTTCTGTCTGGATTTTATGTGAAGATATTTCCTTTTCTACCATAGACCACAAAGCACTCCAAATCTCCACTTGCAGGTTCTAAAAATGTAGTGTTTCCAAACTGCTCATTGAAAAGAACGGTTCAACTCTGTAAGATGAACGCACACATAACAAAGAAGTTTCTCAGAATTCTTCTGTCTGGTGTTTATATGAAGATATTTTCTTTTCCACCATAAAGCCTCAAGGCACTTGAAATGTCCACTTGCAGATTCTACGAAAAGAGTATTTAAAAACTGGTCCTTCAAAAGAAAGGTTCAACTCTTGAGATGAATGCACACATCACGAAGAAGTTTCTCAGAATATTTCTATCTGGTTTTTATGTGAAGATATTTCCTTTT
>NT_187451.1:37763-39285 GCF_000001405.40 Homo sapiens
GAGTGTTCTAAAACTGCTCAATCAAAAGAAAGTTTCAGCTTTGTGAGATGAATGCATACATCACAAAGAAGTTTCTAAGAATGTTTCTGTAGAGATTTTATGTTAAGATATTTACTTTTCCACCATAGACCTCATAGCACTCCAAATGTCCACTTGCAGGGTCTACCAAAAGAGTGTTTCAAAGCTACTCAATCAAAAGAAAGTTTCAACTCTGTGAGATGAATGCACACATCACAAAGTAGTTTCTCAGAATGCTTCTATTTATTATGTGAAGATATCTCATTTTCCAACTTAGGTCTCAAAGCACTCCAGATGTCCACCTGCAGATTCTACAAAAGAAGTGTTTCAAAACTGCTCAATCGAAAGTAAAGTTCAACTCTGTGAGATGAATGCACACCTCACAAAGAAGTTTGTCAGAAATCTTCTGACTAGTTTTTATGTGAGGATATTTCCTTTTCCACCAGAGTCCGCAAAGCGCTCCAAATGTCCTATTGTAGATTCTACAACAAGAGTGTTTCAAAACAGTTCAATCAAAACTAAGGTTCACCTCTGTGAGATGAATGCACACATCACAAAGAAGGTTTTCAGAATGCTTCTGTCTAGGACTTAAGTGAAAATATTTTCTTTTCCACCATAGGCCTCAAAGCTCTACAAATGTCCTCTTGCAAATTCTACAAAATGTGTTTCAAAATTGATCAATCAAAAGAAATTTCCAACTCTGTCAAGTGAGTGCACACATCCCAAAGAAGTTTGTCAGAATGATTCTGTCTAGTTTTAATGTGAAGATGTTTCCTTTTCCACACTAGGCCTCACAGTACTCAAAATGTCCACCTGCAGATTCTGCAAAAAGAGTTTTTAAAAACTACTCAATCAAAAGAAAATTTCAACTATGTGAGGTGAATGCACACATCACAGAGAAGTTTCTCAGAATGCTTCTGTCTAGTTTTTATGTGATGATATTTCCTTTTCCACCATAGGCCTGAAAACTCTACAAATATACACTTGCAGATTCTACAAAAACGTGTTTCAAAACTGCTCAATGAAAAGAAAGGTTCAAATATGTGAGATGAATGCGCACATCACAAAGAAGTTTGTCAGAATGTTTCTGTATAGGTTTTATATGAAGATATTCCCTTTTCCACCATAGGCTTCGAAGCGCACCAAATTTCCACATGCAGATTGTACAAAGTGTTTCAAAGCTGTTCAATCAAATAAAAGGTTTAAACCTGTGAGATGAATGCACACATCACAAAGAAATTTGTCAGAATGCTTCTGTCTAGTTATTGTGAAGATATTTCCTTTTCCATCATAGGCCTCAATGCACGCCAAATGTCCACTTACAGATAGTACAAAAAGGGTGTTTCAAAACTGCTGAATCAAAAGAAAGTTTCAACTCTTTTAAATGAATGCACATATGACAAAGAAGTTTATCAGAATGCTTCTATCTAGTTTTCATGTGAAGATTTTTTTAAATATGCCTCAAATCGCTCCAAATGTCCACTTGCAAATTCTACAAAAAGAG
>NT_187451.1:41507-44474 GCF_000001405.40 Homo sapiens
CATTTCACACCATTCCACTCCACTCCAATCCATTCAACTCCATCCCATTCCATTCCCCTCCGTTCCCCTCCACTCCACTCCACTTCACTCCATTCCACTCCACTCCATTACATTCCATTCTATTACACACCATTCCGTTCCATTCCATTCCATTCCATTCCTTTTCATTCCATTGAACTCCACTCCATTACACTCCATTCCATTCCACTTAATTTCACTCCTTTCCACTCCACTCCACTCCATTCCACTCCAATCCATTCCATTCCACTCCATTCCATTCCGTTGCATTCAACTCCATTCCATTCCATTGCACTCCATTCCATTCCATTGCATTCCACTTTATTCCACTCCATTCCATTCCACTTGACTCCACTCCACTCCACTCCACTCCACTCCATTCCACTCAATTCCTTGCCATTCCGTTCCATTCCATTCCTGTATATTCCACTCAACTCCACTCCATTCCACTCCACTACACTCGATTCCACTCCATTCCATTCCACTCGACTCCATTCCATTCCATTCTACTCCATTCCATTCCATTCCTTTATTTCGACTGGGTTTCACTCTATCACCCAGACAGGAGTGTAGTGGCACAATCTTAGCTCAAATTTCATTTCACCATTCCTTTCCATTCCATTCCATTCAATTTCATTCTGCTCCACTACACTCAACTCCACTCCACTCCACTAAACTCCGTTCCATTCCAATCCATTCCATTCTTTTCCATTGCATTGCATTCCGTTCCATTCCATTCCACTCTGTACCACTCCATTCCACTCCAGTCCATTCCACTCCACTCCACTATACTCTATTCCACTCCACTCCACTCCAGTCCATTCCACTCCATTCCATTCCATTCCACTGCACTCCGATACATTCCACTCAACTACACTACACTCCAGTCCGTTTCATTCCGTTCCATTCTGTTACGTTCTGTTCCATTCCATTCCACTCCATTCCATTCCACTCCACTCCACTCCATTTTACTCCATTCCACTCCACTCCACTAAACTCCATTCCATTTCACTCCATTCCACTCCATTCCACTCCACTCCATTCCACTCCATTCCATTTCACTGCACTCCACTCCATTACACTCCATTCCGTTCCACTCCAATCTATTCCATTCCATTCTACTCCATTCCGTTGCATTCCTTTATTTCGACTGGATCTCACTCTTACACCCAGACTGGAGTGCAGTGGCACAATTTTAGATCACATTTCATTTCACCATTCCATTCCATTCCTTTACATTCCACTCCAGTCCACTACACTACACTACACTCTTCTCCATTCCACTACACTCCATTCCATTCCATTCAACAGCAATCCGATCCATTTCATTCAACACCACTCCACTCTACTCCACTGCATTCCAATACACTCCATAACGTTACGTTCCATTCCATTCCATTCCATTCCATTCCATTCCATTCAATAGCATTCCACTGCACTCTGATGCACTCCACTCAACTCCACTCCACTCCATTCCATGCCACTCCTTAACTTTCCATTCCACTCCTTTCCATTCCATTCCATTCCACTCCACTCCTTTCCTCTATATTCCACTCCACTCCACTCCACTCCACTCCAGTCCACTCCACTCCACTCCATTCCATTCCATCGCATTCCACTGCAGTCCTATACACTCCACTCAACTCCATTCCACTCCATGCCGTTTCATTCCGTTCTGTTTCATTCCATTCTGTTCCATTCCACTCCTTTCCTTTCCACTCCATTCCATTCCACTCCACTCCATTCCACTCCATTCCACTCCATTCCACTGCATTCCGTTCCACTCCATTCCATTCCGTTCCACTCCATTCCATTCCGTTCCACTCCACTCCATTCCACTCCATTCCACTCCACTCCATTCCACACCATTCCATTACAGTCCACTCCATTCCATTCCATTCTAATCCATTCCATTCCATTCCTTTATTTCAACAGGATGTCACTCTGTCACCCTGACAGGAGTGCAATGGCACGTTCTTAGCTCACATTTCATTTCACCATTCCATTCCATTCCATTCCATTCAACTCCCTTCCATTCCATTCCATTCCATTCCACTCCACTCCACTCCATTCCACTCCATTCCATTCCATTCTATTCCAGTCCATCCCATTCTATTTCACTCCACTCCACTCAACTCCACTCCTTTCCAATCTGTTCCATTCCATTCTGCTACATTCCTTCGCATTCCATTCCATTCCATTCCATTCCACTCTACTCCATTCCACTCCATTCCAATCTACTCCACTGCACTCCACTCCACTCCTCTCCAGTCCACTCCACTCCACTAAACTCCACTGCACTCCACTCCACTCCATTCCATTTCGTTTTGTTCCGTTCCGTTCGGGTTTGTTGCATTCCACTCCATTCCATTCCACTCCACTCCTCACAGCACCACTCCATTTCACTTTATTACACGCCATTCCACTCCACTACACTCAACTCCACTCCATTCCATCCCATTCTACTCAACTCCATTCCACTCCATTCCATTCCATTCCATTCCATTCCCTGCACTCCGTTCCACTCCACGCAACTCCACTCCACTCCATTCCACTCCACTCGATCCGATCCATTCTATTCCTTTCCCTTCCATTCCATTCCGTTCCATTCCACTCCATTCCATTCCACTCCAATCCATTCCATTCCACTCCATTCCACTCCATTGCCCTCCACTCCACTCAACTCCCGTCCATTCCAGTCCAATCCCCTCCACTCCACTCCACTCCAGTCCATTCTACTGCTTTCCATTCCATTCCTTTCCATTCCACTGCAGTGCGATCCACTCCACTCAAACCCATTCCACTCAACTCCACTCCACTCCTCTCCCCTTCATTTCATACCATTCCATTTCATTCCATTCCATTCCACTGCACTCTGATCCACCCCACTCAATTCCACTACTCTCCACTAAACTCTGTTCCATTCTGTTCCGTTCCCTTCCGTCCTAT
>NT_187452.1:0-4685 GCF_000001405.40 Homo sapiens
CTTAAAGTATAATAAAAAAAGAAAGTTTCAAAACTGCTGTATCACAAGATAGGTTCAACTCTGTGAGATGAATGCACACATCACAAAGAAGTTTCTCATAATGCTTCTGTGTAGTTTTTATGAGAAGATATTTACTTTTCCATCATAGGCCTCAAAGCACTCCAATTATCCACTTGCAGATTCTACAAAAAGAGAGTTTCAAAATGCTCAATCAAAAGAAAGGTTGAACTCTGTGAGATGAATGTTCACATCACAAAGAAGTTTCTCAGAATGCTTCTGTGTAGTTGTTATGTGAAGATATTTCCTTTTCCACAATATGGCTCTGAGGGCTCCAAATATCCAGCTGCAGATTCTACTAAAACAGTGTTTCCAAACTGCTAAATCAAAAGAAAGGTTCAACAGTGTGAGATGAATGCACACATCACAAAGACTTTTCTGAGAAGGCTGCTGTGTAGTTTTTATATGAAGATATTTCCTTTTCCACAATAGGTCTCAAAGTGCTCCAAATATCCAATTGCAGATTTTACAAAAAGAGTGTTTCAAAAATGCCCAATCAAATGAAAAGTTCAGCTCTGTGAGATGAATGCACACATAACAAAGAAGTTTCTCAGAATGCTTCTCTGTAAGTTTTAGGGAAAGATATTTCCTTTTCCACCATCGGCCACAAATGTCTCAAAATAACCACATGAAGATTCTATAAAAAAAGTTTCCAAACTGCTCTATCAAAAGATAGGTTCAACTCTGCGAGTTGAATGCAAACATCACAAAGAAGTTTCACAGAATGCTTCTGGGTAGTTTCTATGTGAAGATATGTCCTTTTCCTCCATAGGCCTCAAAACGCTCTAAATATCCACTTGCAGATTCTATGAAAACAGTGTTTCAAAACTGCTCAATCAAAAGAAAGCTTCAACTCTGTGAAATCAATGCACACATCACAAAGAAGGTTCTCGGAATGCTTCTCTGCAGCTTTTAAGAGAATGTATTTCCTTTTCCACAGCAGGGAACAAAGGGCTCCAAATATCCACTTGCAGATTGTACAAAAAGAGAATTTCAACACTGCTCTATCAAAAGACAGGTTCAACTCTGTGATATGAATGCACACATCACAAAGTATTTTCTCAGAATGCTTCTGTGTAGTTTTTATGTGAAGATATTTCCTTTTCCACCATAGGCCTCAAAGTGCTCCAAATATCCACGTGCAGATTATACAAAAAGAGTGTTTCAAAACTGCTCAATGAAAAGAAATTTCAACTCTGTGAGATGACTGCACTCAAAACAAAGAACTTTCTGAGAAAGCTTCTGTGTAGCTTTTATGTGAAAGTATTCCCTTTTCCACAATAGGCCTCAACGCACTCCAAGTATCCAAATGCAGATTCTACAAAAAGAGTGTTTCAAAACTGCTCAATCAACTGAAAGATTCAACTTTGTGAGTTGAATGCACACATCACAAAGAAGTTTCTCAGAATGCTTCTGTGTAGTTTTTATGTGAAGATATTTCCTATTCTACAATAGGCCGCAAAGGGCTCCAAACATCCACTTGCAGATTCTACAAAAAGAGAGTTTCAAAACTGCTCTATGAAAAGACAGGTTCAATTCTGTGAGCTGAATGCACACATCAGACAGAAGTTTCTCAGAATGCTTCTGTGTAGTGTTTATGAGAAGTTATTTCCTTTTCTACAATAGGCAGCATAGGGCTACAAATATCCTCTTGCAGATTCTACAAAAAGAGTTTCAAAACTGCTATATAAAAAGATAGGTTCAACACTATGAGATGAAAGCACACATCACAAAGAAGTTTCTCAGAATGTTTCTGCGTAGTGTTTATATGAAGATATTTCCTTTTCCACCATAGACCTCAAAGCGCTCAAAATATCCACTTGCAGATTCTACAAAAAGAGTGTTTCAAAACGGCTCTATGAAATGAAAGTTTCAACTCTGTGAGATGAATGCACACATCACAAAGAAGTTTGTCAGCATGCTTCTGTGAAGTTTTTATATGAAGATATTTCCTTTTCCACCATAGGCCTCAATGCACTCCTTGTATCCACTTGCAGATTCTACAAAAAGATTTTCAAAAATGCTCAATGAATTGAAAGGTGCAACTCTGTGGGATGAATGCACACATCACAAAGAATTTTCACAGAATGCTTCTGTGTAGTTTTTCTGTGAAGATATTTCCTTTTCCACAATAGGCCTCAAAGCGCTTCATATATCTACTTGCAGATTCTACAAAAAGAGTGTTTCCAAGCTGCTCAATCAAAAGAGAGTTTCACCTCTGTGAGATGAATGCACACAATAAAAGAAGTTTCTCTGAATGCTTCCGTGTGCTTTTTATGTGAAGATATTGCCATTTCCACAAAAGGCCCCAAAGGGCTCCAAATATCCACTTGCAGATTGTACAAAAAGAGAGTTTCAAAACTGCCCTATCAAAAGATATGTTCAACTCTGTGTGTTGAATGCACACACGACAAAGAAGTTTCTC
Source organism: Homo sapiens (assembly GCF_000001405.40). Classification (NCBI taxonomy): domain Eukaryota; kingdom Metazoa; phylum Chordata; class Mammalia; order Primates; family Hominidae; genus Homo; species Homo sapiens. Next base: position 2,483 of record NT_187452.1, read on the forward strand.
AGAATGCTCCTGTGTAGTTTTTTTGTTAAGATATTTTCTTTTTCTCTATACTCTGCAAAGGGCTCTTAATATCCGCTTGCAGATTCTACAAAAAGAAGGTTTCCAAACTGCTCTAACAAAAGATAGGTTCAACTCTTTGAGTTGAATGCTCACATCACAAAGAAGTTTCTCAGATTGATTCACTGTAGTTTTTATGTGAAGATATTTCCTCTTCCAACATAGGCATCAAAGGGCTCCAAATATCCACTTACAGATTCTACAAAAAGAGAGTTCCAAAACGCTCTATAAAAAGATAGGTTGAACTCTGTGAGTTGAATGCACACATCACAAAGAAGTTTCTCAGAAAGCTTCTGTGTTATTTTTATGTGAAGATATTTCCTTTTCCACCATAGGCCTCACAGCGCTCCAAATATCCCATTGCAGATTCTACTCAAAGAGTGTTTCAAAAGTGCTCAATCAAAAGAAATGTTCAAATTTTTGAGATGAATGCACATATCACAACGAAGTTTCTCAGAATGCTTCTGTGTAGTTTTTGTGTGAAGATATTTCCTTTTCTATCATAGGTGCAAATGGCTCCAAATATCCACTTGCAAATTCTACCAAAAGAGAGTTTCAAAACTTCTCTATCAAAAGATAGGTTCAACTCTGTGAGCTGAATGCACACATCTCAAAGAAGTTTCTCAGAATGCTTCTGTTCTTTTTTTATGTTAATATATTTCCTTTTACACCACAGGCCACAAAGGGTTCCAAATAGCCACTTGCAGATTCTGCAAAATGAGAGTTTCAATACTGCTCTGTCAAAAGATAGGTTCAACTACGTGAATTGAATGCACACATCACAAAGAAGTTTCTCAGAATGCTTCTGTGTAATTTTTATGTGAAGATGTTTCATTTTCCACCATGGGCCTCAATGCACTCCAAATTTCCACTTGCAGATTCTTCAAAAAGAGTGTTTCATAACTCCTCAATCAAAAGAAGGTTTCAACTCTGTGAGATGAATGAGCACATCACAAAGAAGTTTCTCACAATGCTTCTGTGCGGTTCTTATGTGAAGATATTTCCCTTCCCAACATAGGCCGCAAAGGTCTCTAAATATCCCCTTGCAGATTCTACAAAAAGAGAGTTTCAAAACTGCTCTATCAAAATATATGTTCAACTCTGTGAGATGAATGCACACCTCAGAAACAAGTTTCTCAGAATGCTTCTCTGTAGTTTTTACTTGAAGATATCTCCTTTTCCACCATAGGCCTCAATGTGCTCAAATACCACTTGCAGTTTCTACAAAAAGAGTGTTTCAAAACTGCTCAGTCTAAAGAAAGGATCAACCCTGTGACACAAATGCACACAAAACAAAGAAGTGTCTCAGAATCCTTCTGTGTAGTTTGTATGTGAAGATGTTACCTTTTCCACATTAGGCGACAAAGCACTCCAAATTTCCAAATGCAGATTCTACAAAAAGAGTGTCTCAAAACTACTTAATCAAATTAAAGGTTCAACTCTGTGAGCTGAATGTATACATAACAAGGAAGTTTCTCAGAATGTTTCTGTGTAGTTTTTAGAGGAAGATATTTCTTTTTCCACCATTGGCCACAATGGGCTCCAAATAATCACACACAGATTCTACAAAAAGACTGTTTCAAAACTGCTATATCAAAAGATCGGTACAATGCTGCGAGTTGAATGCACACATCACAAAGAAATTTCTCGGAATCCTTCTGTGTAGTTTTTATGTGAAGATATATCCCTATCCACCATAGGCCTCAAAGCGCTCCATATATCCACTTGCAGATTCTGTGAAAAAAGTGTCTCAAATCTGTTCAAACAATACAAAATTTAACACTGTGAGATGAATGCACACATTACAAAGAATTTTCCCAGAATACTTCTGTGTAGTTTTTAGGGGAACATATTTCCTTTTCCTCCATTGGCCACAAAGGGCTCCAAACAACCACATGCAGATTTTACAAAAAGAAAGTTCCAAAACTGCTCAATCAAAAGAAAGATTCAACTCTGTGAGATGAATGCACACATCACAACGAAGTTTCTCAGAATGCTTCTGTGTTGTTTTTATGTGAAGATATTCCCTTTTCCACCATAGGCCTCTAAGGGCACCAACTATACACTTCCAGATTCTACAAAAAGAGTGTTTTAAAACTGCTCAATCAAAAGAAAGTATCAACTCTGTGAGGAAATGCACACATCC
>NT_187453.1:0-4513 GCF_000001405.40 Homo sapiens
ATTGTTTTGATTTGCATTTCTCTGATGGCCAGTGATGGTGAGCATTTCTTTATGTGTTTTTTGCTGCATAAATGTCTTCTTTTGAGAAGTGTCTGTTCATGTCTTTCACTCACTTTTTGATGGGGTTGTTTGTCTTTTCCTTGTAAATTTGTTTGAGTTCATTGTAGATTCTGGATATTAGCCGTTTGTCAGATGAGTAGGTTGCGAAAATTTTCTCCCATTTTGTGGGTTGCCTGTTCACTCTGATGGTAGTTTCTTTTGCTTTGCAGAAGCTCTTTAGTTTAATTAGTTCCCATTTGTCAATTTTGGATTTTGTTGCCATTGCTTTTGGTGTTTTCGACATGAAGTCATTGCCCATGCCTAGAGACCTAGAGGCCTTAGAGGGCTCCAAATATCCACTTACAGATTGTAGAAAAAGAGAGTTTCAAAACTGCTCAATAAAAAGATAGCTTCAACTCTGTGAGTTGAATGTACACATCTTGAAAAAGTTTCTCATAATGCTTCTGTTTAGTTTTTATGTGAAGATATTTCCTTTTACACAATAGCCTTGATAGTGTTCCAAATATCCACTAGAATCCACAGATTCTAGAAAAAGAGTTTTTCAAAACTGCTCAGTCAAAAGAAAAGTTCAACTCTATGAGATGAATGCACACATCGCAAAGATGTTTCTCAGAATGCTTCTGTGTACAAGTTTTTATGTGAAGATATTCCCTTTTCCACCATAGGCTCCAAAGTGCTCCAAATATCCACTTGAAGATTCTTCAAAAAGAGTGTCTCCAAACTGTTCAATAAAAAGAAACATTCAACTCTGTGAGATGAACGCACACACAAAGGAGTTTCTGAGAATGCTCTGTGTACTTTTAATGTGAAGCTATTTCCTTTTCCACTGCAGGCCTCAAAGCACTCCAAATATCCACTTGGAGATTCTACATAAAGAGAGATTCAAAACTGCTCAATCAAAAGATTGGTTGTAATCTGTGTGTTGAATGCATACATCACAAAGAAGTTTCTGAGACGGCTGTGTTTTTCTTTTTTTATGTGAAGGTATTTCCTTTTCCACCATAGGCTTCCAAGCGCTCCAAATATCCACTTGCAGATTCTACAAAAAGATGTTTCCAAACTGCTCAATCAAAAGAAAGTTTCAACTCAGTGAGATGAATGCACACATCAAAAAGTACTTTCTCAGAATGCTTCTGTGTAGTTTTTACGTGAAGACATTTCCTTTTCCACCATATGCCACAAATGGCTCCAAATATCCAATTGCATATTCTACAAAAAGAGTGTTTCCAAACTGCTCAAAGGAAATGTTCAACTCTGTGAGATGAATGCACACGTCACAAAGAAGTTTCTCAGAATGCTTCTGTGTAGTTTCTATCTGAAGATATTCCCTTTTCAACAGCAGGCCACAAACGGCTCCAAATACCCACTTCCAGATTCTACAAAAAGAGAGTTTCAAAACTGCTCAATCAAAGGATATGTTCAACTCTGTGATTTGAATGCATATGTCACTAAAAAGTTTCTCAGAATCCTTCTTCGTAGGTTTTATGTGAAGATATTTCCTTTTCAAAACTAGGCCTGAAAGCCCTCCAAATATCCACTTGCAGATTCTAAAAAAGGAGTTTTTCCAAACTGCTAAATCAAAAGAAAGTTTCAACTCTGTGAAATGAAAGCACACAAAGCAAAGAAGTTTCTCAGAATGCAACTGTGTAGTTTTTATGTGAAAATATCTCCTTTTCCACCATAGGCCTCAAAGCGCTCCAAATATCCAATTGCAGATTATACAAAAAGAGTGTTTCAAAACTGATCAATGAAAAGAAATTTTCAACACTGTGAGTGGAATGCTCACATCACAAAGAAGATTATCAGATTTCCTCTGTGTACTTTTTATGTGAAGATATTTCCTTTTCCACAATAGGCCCCAAAATGCTCCAAATATCCACTTGCAGATTCCACAAAAAGAGTATTTTAAAATTGCTCAATCAAAAGTCAGTTTCAACTCTGAGAGATGAATGCACACATCACAAAGAAGTTTCTCAGAATGCTTCTGTGTAGTTTTTATGTGAAGATATTTCCTTTACCATAATAGGCCTCAAAGCACTCCAAATATCCACTTGCAATTTCTAAAAAAAGAGTGTTTAAAAACTGCTCAAACAAAAGAAAGTTTCAACTCTCTGAGATGAATGTACACATCAAACAAGTTTCTGAGAATGCTTCTGTGTAGTTTTTATTGAAAGATATTTCCTTTTCCTCCATATGTCAGAAAGGGCTCCAAATGTCCACTTGCAGATTCTACAAAAAGACAGATTCAAAACTGCTCGATGAAAAGAGAGGTTCAACACTGTGAGTTGAATACACACATCAATAATACGTTTCTCAGAATGCTTCTGTGTAGTATTTATGTGAAGATATTTCCTTTTCCACAGTAAGCCTCAAAGCGCTCCAAATATCCACTTGCAGATTCTAGAAAGACAATGTTTCAAAACTGCTCAATCGTAAGATAGGTTCAAACCCGTGAGATGAATGCACACATCACAAAGAAGTTTTTCAGAATGGTTCTGTGTATTTTTTATGTGAAGCTATTTGCTTTTCAGTGGTAAGCCTCAAAACCCTGCAAATACTGACTTACAGATTCTACAAGAACAGTGTTTGAAAACTGCTGAATCAAAAGAAAGTTGGAATTTTGTGAGATGAATGCACACATCACAAAGTTTCTCAGAATGCTTCTGTGTAGTTTTTATGTGAAGATATTTCTTTGCCATAGTAGGCCTCAAAGCACTCCAAGTATCCACTTGCAGATTCTACAAAGAGTGTTTCAAAACTGCTTAATCATAAGATAGGTACAACTCTGTGAGACAAAAACACACATCACAAAGAAGTTTCTCAGAATGCCTCTGTGTAGTTTTTATTTGAAGATATCTCCTTTTCCTCCGTAGGTGGCATAGGGCTCCAATTATCTACTTGCAGATTCTACAAAAAGAGAGATGCAAAACTGCTTAATCAAAAGATAGGTACAACTCTGTGAGTTGAATGCAAACATCACAAAGATGTGTCTCAGAATGCTTCTCTGTAGTTTTTATGTGAACATATTTCCTTTTCCACAATAGGCCTCAAAGTGCTCCAAATATCCACTTACAGATACTACAAAAAGAGTGTTTCAAAACTGCTCAATAAAAAGAAAGTTCAACTCTGTGAGATGAATGTACACATCACAAAGAAATTTCTCAATATGCTTCTGTGCAGTTTTTATGTGAAGATATATGCTTTTCCACCGTAGGCCTCCAGGGGCTCCGTATATGCACTTACAGATTCTACAAAAACAGTGTTTCAAAACTGCTCAATCAAAATAAAGGTTGAACACTGTGAGATTAATCCACATATCACAAAGAAGTTTCTCAGAGGGTTTCTGTGTAGTTTTTATGTGAAGATATTTCCTTTTCCACAGTAGGCCTCAAAGCACACCAAATATCCACTTGCAGATTCTAGAAAGAGAGTGTTTCAATACTGCTCAATCATAAGATAGGTTCAACCTTGTGAGATGAATGCACGCATCACAAAGAAGTGTCTCAGAATTCTTCTGACTAGTTTTTATATGAAGATATTTCCTTTTCCACCATAGGCCTTAAAGCGCTACAAATGTACGCTTGCATATCCTACAAAAAGTGTATTTCCTAACTGGTCCGTCAAAAGAATGGTTCAAATCTGGGAGATGAATGCACACATCACAAAGAAGTTTCTCAGAATTCTTCTGCCTTGTTTTTATGTGAAGATAATTTCTTTTCCACCACAGGCCCCAAATCGCTCCAAATGTCCACTTGCAGATTCTACAAAAAGAGAGTTTCAAAACTGCTCAATCAAAAAAAAGTTTAACTGTGTGAGATGTATGCACACATAACAAAGAAGTCTTTCAGATTGCTTCTGTCTGGATTTTATGTGATGATATTTCCTTTTCTACCATAGGCCACAAAGTGTTCCAAATGTCCACTTGCAGATTCTACAAAAAGTGTGTTTCCAAACTGCTTAATCAAAAGAAATGTTCAACTCTGAGAGATGAACGCACTCATCACAAAGAAGTTTGTCAGAATTCTTCTGTCTAGTTTTTATATGAAGATACTTCCTTTTCCACCTTAGGCCTGAAGGCTCTCAAAATGTCCACTTGCAGATTCTACAAAAAGAGTATTTCAAAACTGTTCCACCAAAAGAAAGCTTCAACTCTGAGAGATGAATGCACACATCACAAAGAAGTTTCTCAGAATGCTTCTATCTAGTTTTTATGTGAAGATATTTCCTTTTGCACTATAGGCCTCAAAGCACTCCAAATGTCCACTTGCAGATTCTACAAAAGAGAGTTTCAAAACTACTCAATGAAAATAAAGGTTTAACTCCTTGAGACGAATGCACACATCACAAAGAAGTTTGTGAGATTGCTTTTGTCTAGATTTTAAGTGAAGATATTTCCTTTTCTACAATAGGCCACAAAGCAATCCAAATGTCCATTTGTAGATTCTACAAAAAG
>NT_187454.1:0-6504 GCF_000001405.40 Homo sapiens
GGCCTAGATAGCTCTTATTATTTTCAGATACGTCCCATCATACCTAATTTATTGAGAGTTTTTAGTATGAAGTGTCGTTGAATTTTGTCAAACGCCCTTTCTGCATCTATTGAGATAATCATGTGGTTTTTGTCTTTGGTTCTGTTTCTATGCTGGATTACATTTATTGATTTGCGTATATTGAACCAGCCTTGCATCCCAGGGATGAAGCCCACTTGATCATCGTGGATAAGCTTTTTGATATGCTGCTTGATTCGGTTTTTCAGTATGTTATTGAGGATTTTTGCATCAATGTTCATCGAGTATATTAGTTTAAAATTCTCTTTTTTAGTTGTGTCTCTGGCAGGCCTTGGTATCAGGATGATGCTGGCCTCATAAAATGAGTTAGGGAGGATTCACTCATTTTCTATTGATTGGAATAGTTTCAGAAAGAATGGTACCAGTTCCTCCTTGTACCTCCGGTAGAATTCGGCTGTGAATCCATCTGGTCCTGGACTCCTTTTAGTTGGTAAGCTATTGATTATTGCCACAACTTTAGCCCCTGTTTTTGGTCTATTCAGAGATTCAACTTCTTCCTGGTTTAGTCTTGGGAGAGTGTATGTGTCAACGAATTTATCCATTTCTTCTAGATTTTCTAGTTTATTTGCACAGAGTTGTTTGTAGTAGTCTCTGATAGCAGTTTGTATTTCTATGGGATTGGTGGTGATATCCCCTTTATCATTGTTTATTGTGTCTATTTGATTCTTCTCTTTTTTTCTTTATTAGTCTTGCTAGTGGTCTATCATTTTTTTGATCCTTTCAAAAAACCGGCTTAAGGAGTCTTTTAGGGCAGGCCTGTTGGAGACAAAATCTCTCAGCATTTGTCTGTCTGTAAAGTATTTTATTTCTACTTCATTTATGAAGCTTAGTTTGGCTGGATATGAAATTCTGGGTTGAAAATTATTTTCTTTAAGAATGTTGAATATTGGCCCCCAGCTGTAGTCTGATGGGCTTCCCTTTGTGGGTCACCCAACTTTTCTCTCAGGCTGCCCTTAACATTTTTTCATTCATTTCAACTTTGGTGAATCTGACAGTTATGTGCCTTGGATTTGCTATTCTCGAGGAGTACCTTTGTTGCCTTCTATGTATTTTCTGAATTTGAATGTTGGCCTGCCTTGCTAGATTGGGGAAGTTCTCCTGGATAATATCCTGCAGAGTGTTTTTCAATTTGGTTCCATTCAACCCGTCACTTTCAGGTACACCAATCAGACGTAGATTTGGTCTTTTCACGTAGTCCCATATTTCTTGTTGGCTTTGTTCATTTCTTTTTATTCTTTTTTGCTAAACTTCTCTTCTCGCTTCATTTCATTCCTTTTGTCTTCCATCACTGATACCCTTTCTTCCAGTTGATCACATTGGCTACTGAGGCTTCTGCATTCATCACGTAGTTCTTGTGCCTTGGTTTTCAGCTCCATCAGGTCCTTTAAGGACTTCTCTGCATTGGTTATTCTAGTGATCCATTCATCTATTTTTTTTCAAAGTTTTTATCTTCTTTGCCATTGGTTCGAATCTCCTCCTGTAGCTCAGATTAGTTTGATCATCTGAAGCCTTATTCTCTCAACTCATCGAAGTCATTCTCCATCCAGCTTTGTTCCGTTGCTGGTGAGGAGTTTTGTTCATTTGGAGGAGGAGAGGTGCTCTGAATTTTAGAGTTTCCAGTTTTTCTGCTCTACTTGTTTCCCATCTTTTTGGTTTTATCTAACGTGGGCTTTAATGATGGTGATGTACGGATGGGTTTTTGGTGTGGATGTCCTTTCTGTTTGTTAGTTTTCCTTCTAAAATCAGGACCCTCAGCTGCAGGTCTGTTGGAGTTTACTAGAGGTCCATTCCAGACCCTGTTTGCCTGCATATCAGCAGTGGTGACTGCAGAACAGTGGATATTGGTGAACCGCAGATGCTGCTGCCTGATCGTTCCTCTGGAAGTTTTGTTTCAGAAGAGTACCAGGCTGTGTGAGGTTTCAGTCCAACCCTACTGGGGGGTTCCTCCCAGTTAGGCTACTCAGGAGTCAGGGACCCACTTGAGGAGGTAGTCTGTCCATTCTCAGATCACAAGCTGCGAGCTGGGAGAACCACTACCCTCTTCAAAGCTGTCAGAGAGGGATATTTAAGTCTGCAGAGGTTACTGCTGTCTTTTTGTTTGTCTGTGCCCTGCCCCCAGAGGTGGAGCCTACAGGGGCAGGCAGGCCTCCTTGAGCTGTGGTGGGCTCCACCCAGTTCCCGCTTCCTGGCTACTTTGTTTACCTACTCATGCCTTAGCAATGGCGGGTGTCCCACCCCCAGCCTCGCTGCCACCTTGCAGTTTGATCTTCGACTGACGTGCTAGCAATGAGTGAGGCTCCGTGGACGTAGGACTCTCTGAGCCAGGTGCAGGATATAATCTCCTGGTGTGACATTTTTTAAGCCCGTTGGAAAAGCGCAGTGTTAGGGTGGAGTGACCCGATTTTCCAGATGCCATCTGTCACCACTTTCTTTTCTAGGAAAGGGAATTCCCTGACCCCTTGCACTTCACGGGTGAGGCAATTCCTTGCCCTGCTTCGGCTCATGCACGGGGTGCTGCACCCACTGTCCTGCACCTACTGTCTGGCACTCCCCAGTGAGATGAACCCGGTACCTCAGTTGGAAATGCAGAAATCACCCGTCTTCTGTGTCACTCACACTGGGAGCTGTAGAGCGGAGCTGTTCCTATTCGGCCTTCTTGGCTCCTCCCCCCAACATTCATTTTAAGGATAAATAATATTCTGTTGTGTGTATATACCATATTTTCTTTGTCAGTTTGACTCTTAGAAGATATCTGGATTTCTTTTTAAATTTTTTACTGTAAATGATGCTGCTATAAAATTTGGTTTGAAAGTATTAGTGCATAAGTGAATAAAATTTTAAAATCTGAACACATTTCTGCATGCAGTTCTTAGATTGAATAACGGAGTCCAGGCATGGTGGCTTACACCTGTAATCCCAAATCTTTGGGAGGCTGAGGCAGGCAGATCACTTAAGCTCAGGAGTTCGAGACCAGCCATAGAATCATGGCAAAACCCCATCTCTACTAAAAATTCAAAAATTAGCTGGGCATTGTGGTGCATGTTTGTAGTCCCAGCTATTCGGGAGACTGAGGCACAAGGATCACTTAATACACAGAGGCAGAGTTTGCAGCTTATGTCATTGTTTTTAATTATTTTGGATACACCTGTAATTGGAACATATGGAACTGTTCCACCTGTTGTGAAACATATGGTAATTCTATGTAGAACTTTCTGATAAACTGCCAATCTATTGGTCACAGTCAATAAATCATTTTATATTCTCACCAGCCATGCACCAGGGTTTCACTTCCCCCACATCCTGGCCAATACTTGTTCTTTTTCATTTTTGTTGTTTTGGTTTTCATATAGCCAATCTAATAGATGTAAAGTGGTAACTTGTTGTGGTTTTGATATCCATATCCCTCATGACTGGTGAGGTTGAGCATTTTTCTGTAGACTTTTTGACCCAATGTTTATACAAGTCCTCTGCCCTTTTATAAATGCTTTTGTTGTTTCGTTTTGTTGTTGAGTTTTAGAAGTTCTTTATATATCCTGCTTATTATATTTTACCTTATGTACCCAATCAGTTACATGCTTTGCAAATCTTTTCTCCCATTTGCTGGTTGTCTTTTCACTCTCTTGTTCATGCTTTTTGTATCAAATTTTAGAAGAGGTGGGTTTTTTTTTTCTATCAAAAAACACGAACAACAGAGTGTTTTTCATATCAAAAAATCAGAAAAGTTTCACATTTAAATCAAGTCCAATTTATCTGTTTTTTATTTTCTGGCCTATGCTTTTGGTGTTACAGTCAAGAAACCATCACAAAATTTAATGTTATAAGATTTTTGCTTAAGCTTTTTCCCAAGAGTTTTTAAAGTTTAACTTTTTGAAACTTTTACAGTAGGTTCGGGTATATGAGTGAAGGTTTGTTACACAGGTAAACATATGTCACAGGAGTTTGCTGTATAGATGATTTCATCACCCAGGTATTAAGCCCAGTACCCAATGGCTATCTTTTCTGCTTCTTTCCCTCCTCCCACCCTCTTACTTCAAATAGACCCCATGGTCTACTGTTTTCCTCCTCGTGTTCATACATTCTTATCATTTAGCTCCCACTTATAAGTCAGAACATGTGATATTTGGTTTTCTCTTCCTGTGTTAGTTTGCTAAGGACAATAGTATCCAGTTATGTCTATGTTTCCACAAAGGACATAATCTCATTCTTTTTTATGGGTGCATAGTATTCCATAATGTATACGTAGCACATTTTGTTTATCTAATCTGTTACTGATAGTATTTAGGTTGATTCCATGTCATTGCTGTTGTGAATAGGGCTGCAGTGAACATTTGCATGCATGTGTCTTTATGGTAGAATAATTCCTATTTTTCTGGAAATATACGCAGTAATGGGATTGCAAGCAGAACTATTGAATGGTAGTTCTGCTTTTAGCTCTTTGAGGAATTGCCAAACTGCTTTCCACAGCAGTTGAACTAGTTTACACTCCCACCAACAGTGTATAAGTTCCCTTTTCTCTACAACCTCTCCAGCATTTATTGTTTGACTATAGCCATTCTGACTAGTGTGAGATGGCATTTCATTGTGGTTTTAATTTTCACTTCTCTAACTATCATTGATGCTGAGCTTTTTCTCATACACTTATTGGCCTCATGTATGTCTTCTTTCAAAAACTGTCTGTTCATGTCTTTGCCCACTTTTTAATGGGGTTGTTTTTCTTTTGTAAATTTAAGTTCCTTATAGATGATAGATATTAGACCTTTGTTAGATGGATAGTTTACAAATATTTTTTCCACTCCATAGGTTTTCTGTTTACTCTAATAGTTTTTTTTCTGCTATGCAAAATCTCTTTACTTTAATTAAATCCTACTTGTTAATTTTTGCTTTTCTTGCTATTGCTTTTGGTCTTTCTATCATGAAATCTTTGCCCGTTCCTATATCCAGGATGGTATTGCCTGGATTGTCTTTCATGGTTTTTATACATAAAGATTTTATATTTAAGTCTTCAATCAGTCTTGAGTTGATTTTTTTTTTTGTATATGATGTAAATAAGGGGTCCAGCTTCAATCTTCCACATATTGCCAGCCAATTATTTCAGCATCACTTATTGAATAAATCATCTTTTTCTCATTGCTTGTTTTTGTCAGCCTTGTCAATTATCACATGGGCATAGATGTGCAGCCTTGTTTCTGGGCTCTCTATTCTGCTCCATTTGTCTATGTGTCTGTTTTTGTATCAGTATTATGCTGTTTTCGTTACTATAGCCCTGTAGTGTAATTTGAAGCCAGGCAACCTGATGCCTGCAGCTTTGTTCTTTTTTGCTTAGGATTGCCTTGGCTATGTGTGCTCCTTTTTGGTTTCATATATATATATATATTTGATGGAATGTCACTCTGTCATCAGGCTGGAGTGCAGTGGTGCAATCTCAGCTCACTGCAACCTCTGACTCCCTGGTTCAATGGAGTCTCCTGCCTCAGCCTCCCGAGTAGCTGGGATTACAAGCGCTTGCCACTACGCCCAGCTATTTTTTGTATTTTTAGTTGAGAAGGAGTTTCACCATGTTGGCCAGGATGGTCTCGATCTCCTGACCTCATGATCTGCACCCCTCGGCCTCCCAGAGTGCTGGGATTACAGGCGTGAGCCACTGCACCCAGCCTATAGGAATTTTAAAATAGTTTTTTCTAGCTCTGTAAAAAATTTTATTGGCAGTTTGATGGAAATAGCATTAAATCTGTCAATTGCTTTGTGAAGTATAGCCATTTTAGTCATATTGGATCTTCCTATCCATGAGCATGGGGTGGTTTTCCATTTGTTTGTGTCTTCTCTGATTTCTTTGAGCAGTGTTTTTTAATTCTCATTGTAGAGCTCTTTCACCTCCCTGGTGAGCTGCATTTCCAGGTATTTTATTATTTTTGTGGCAATTGTGAATGGTATGGCCTTTCTGATTTTGCTGTCAGTGTGGTTATCATTGGTGTAGAGAAATGTTAGTGATCTTTGCACATTGATTTAGTATCTTGAAACTTCGCTGAAGTTGTATGTTAACTAAAGAAGCTTTGTAGCTGAAACTACAGGGTTTTCTAGATGTAGAATTATGTTATCTACAAACAGAAATAGTTTGGCTTTCTCTCTTCCTATTTGGATGCTTTTTGTATTTCTTTCTCTAGCCTGATTGCTCTGGTCAGGTCTTTCAATACTATGTTGAATAGAAATGGTGAGAGAGGGCATTCTTGCCTTGTGCTGGTTTTCAAAAAAAAAACGCCCCCAACTTTTGCCCATTCAACAGATTGTTGGCTGTGGGTTTGTTATACACGGCTTTTATTATTTTCTGCATCTATTGGGATAATCGTTTGTTTTTTGTTTTTAGTTCTGTTTATGTGATGTATTACATTTATTGATTTGCACATGCTGGACCAACCTGCATCCTAAGAA
>NT_187455.1:0-6158 GCF_000001405.40 Homo sapiens
TTGGAGGCCTATGGTGGAAAGGAAATATCTTCACATAAAAAATAGGCAGAAGAATTCTGAGAAACTTCTTTGTGATGTGTGTGTTCATCCCACAAAGTTGAACCTTTATTTTCTTGAGCAGTATGGAAACAGTCTTTTTGTCAAAGCTGCTAGTGGACTTTTGGAGTGCTTTGCAGTTTATTGAATAAAAAGAAATATCTTCACATTAAATCAAGGCAGAAGCAATCTGAGAAACTACTTTGTGATGTGTGCACTCATCTAACAGAGTTAAAATTGTCTTTTTATTGAGCAATTTTGAAACTCTCTTTTTGAAGAATCAGTAAGTGGACGTTTGGAGTGCCTTGAGGCCTATGATGGAAAAGGAAATATCTTCACATAAAAACTAGACAGTAGATTTCTGAGAAACTTCTTTCTGATGTGTGCATTCACCTCAAAAATTTAAACATTTCTTTTGATTGGGAGTTTTGAAACTCTCTTTTTGTAGAATCTGCAAATGGACATTTGGAGAGCTTGGACACCTGTGGTGGAAAAGGAAATATCTTCAAATAAAAACTAGGTAGAAGAATCCTGAGAAACTTCTTTGTGATGTGTGCGATTGTTTTTAGGCCTATGGTGGAAAAGGAAATATCTTCACATAAAAACTAGACAGTAGATTTCTGAGAAACTTCTTTGTGATGCTGGCGTTCATCTCACACAGTTGAATCTTTCCTTTGACTTAGCAGTTTGTAAACACTCTTTTTGTAGGTTCTGCAAGTGTACATTTGGAGCACCTTCCGGCCTACGTTAGAAAAGGAAATATCTTCACATAAAATCTAGACAGAAGCAATCTGAGAAAATTCTTAGTGGAGTGTTCATTCACCTCAAAGAGTTAAACCTTCTTTTGATTGAGGAGTTTTGAAACTCTCCTTTCATAGAATCTGCAAGTGGACATTTGGAGGGTTTTGAGGACCATTGTGGAAAAGGAAATATCTTCACATAAAGACTAGACAGAAGAATTCTGAAAAACTTCTTTGTGATGTGTGCATTCATCTCACAGAGTTAAATGTTTCTTTTAATTGAGGAATTTTGAAACTCTCTTTTTGTAGAATCTGAAATTGGATATTTTGAGCGCTTTGAGGCCTATAGTGGGAAAGGAAATATCTTCACATAAAAACTAGACAGAAGAATTCTGAGAAACTTCTTTGTGATGTGTGAATTCATCTCACAGAGTTGAAACTTCCTTTTGATTGAGCAGTTTGGAAATATTCTTTTTGTAGAATCTGCAAATGGACATTTTTTGTGCTTTGCAGCCTATGTTATAAGAGAAAATATCTTCACAAAAAATCTAGACCGAAGCAATCTGAGAAACTACTTTGTACTGTGTGCATTCGTCTCACAGAGTTAAACCTTTCTTTTGATTGAGCAGTTTGGAAACTCTCTTTTTGTAGAATCTGCAAGTGCACATTTGGAGTGCTTTGAAGCCTATGGTGGAAAAGAAACTATACTCACATCAAAACTAGACAGAAGAATTCTGAGAAACTTCGCTTTGATGCGTGCGTTCATCTCACCGAGTTGATCCTTTCTTTTGATTCAGCAGTTTGGAAACAGTCTTTTTGTAGAATCTGCATGTGGGCATTTGGAACGCTTTGCTGCCTATCTTAGAAAAGGAAATATCTTCACATAGAATGTAGACAGAAGCAATCTGAGAAACTTCTTTGTGATGTGTGAATTCATCTCACAGAGTTAAACCTCTCATTTGTTTAATCAGTTTTTTAACTCTCTTTTTGTATAATCTGCAAGTGGACATTTGGAGTGCTTTGAGGCCTATAGTGGAAAAGGAAGCATCTTCACCTAAAAACTAGACAGAAGAATTCTGAGAAACTTCTTTGTGATGTGTGCATTCATCTCACAGAGTTGAGCATTCTTTTGAATGAGTAGTTTGGAAACAATCTTTTTGTGGAGTCTGCAGGTGGACTGTCACAATGAGAGAGTTTCAAAACTGTTCAATCAAAAGAAAGTTTTAACTCTGTGAGATGAATACACACATCACAAAGAAGTTTCTCAGTTTGCTTCTGTCTACAAATTATGTGAAGATATTTCCTTTTCTACCATAGGCCACAAAGTGCTCCAAATATCCACTTGCAGATTCTGCAAAAAGAGTGTTTTGAAAGTGCTCAATCAAAGGAAAGGTTCAACTTTGTGAGAAGAATGCATGCATCACAAACAAATTTCTCAGATAGCTTTTGTATAGATTTTATGTGAGGGTATTTTGTTTTCTAACATAGGCCACAAAGACCTCCAAATATCCACTTGCAGATTCTACAAAAAGAGAGTTTCAAAACTGCTCTATCAAAATAATGGTTAAAATCTGTGACTTGAATGCACACATAACAACGAAGTTTCCCAGAAAGCTTCTGTGTAGTTTTTATCTGAAGATATTTTCTTTTCCAAAATAGAGCACAAAGCCCGTCAAATTTCCACTTCCGGATTCTACAAAAAAAGTGTTTCCAAATTACTCAGTCAATAGAAAGATTCAACCCTTTTTGATGAATGCACTCATCACAAAGATGTTTCCAAGAATGATTCTGTGTAGTTTTTATTTGAAGATATTTCCTTTTCCAACGTAGGCTGCAAAGGGCTCCAAATTTCCACCTGCAGATGCTACAAAAAGAGAGATTCAAAACTGCTCAATCAAAAGATAGGTTCAACTCTGTCAGTTGAATGCACACATCACAAAGAAGTTTCTCAGAATGCCTCTGTGTAGTTTTTATGTGAAGATATTTCCTTTTCCACAATAGGCCGCAAAGCACTCCAAATATCCACTTGCAGATTCTGCAAAAAGAGAGATTCAAAACTGTTCAATCAAAAGATGGGTTCGACTCTGTGAGTTGAATGCACACCTCACAACAAAGTTTCTCAGAATGCTTCTGTGTAATTTTTATTTGAAAATATTTGCTTTTCCACAGTAGACCTCAAAGCGATACAAATATCCACTTGCAGATTCTGCAAAAAGAGAGATTCAAAACCGCTCAATCAAAAGATAGGCACAACTCTGTGTGTTGAATGCACACATAACAAAGGAGTTTCTCCGAATAATTCTGTGCAGTTTTTATGTTAAGATATTTCCTTTTCCAAAATAGGCCTCAAAGCCCTCCAAATATCCACTTCCAGATTCTACAAAAACAGTGTTTCAAAACTGCTCAATCAAAAGAAACTTTCAACTCTGTGTGATGAATGCACTTAACACAAAGAAGTTTTTCAGAATGCTTATGTGTAGTTTTTATTTGAAGATATTTCTTTTTCCAACACAGGGTGCAAAGAGCTCCAAATATCCACTTCCAGATTCTACAAATGGAGAAATTGAAAACTGCTCAATCAAAAAATTCGTTCAATACTGTGAATTGAATGAACACATAACAGAGAAGTTTGTCAGAATGCTTCTGTGTAGTTTTTATGTGAGGATATTTCCGTTTCCAAAATAAGCCTCAAAGACCTCGAAATATCCACTTCCATCTTCTACAAAAGGAGAGTTTCAAAACTACTCAATCAAAAGAAAGTTTCAAGTCTGTGATGAATGCACTCATCATAAAGAAGTTTCTCTGAATACTTCTGTGTAGTTTTTATTTGAAGATATTTCCTTTTCCACAACATGTCTCAAAGCTCTACAAATATCCACTTGCAGATTCTGGAAAAATACTGTTTCAAAACTGCTCCCTGAAAGGAAGTGTTCAACCCTGTGAGATGAATGCACACAACACAAAGAAGTTTCTCAGAATGCTTCTATGTAGTTTCTATTTGACGATATGTCCTTTTCCACCATTGGCTGCAAAGGGCTCCAAATATCCAGTAGCAGATCCTACAAAACAGATATTCAAAACTGCTGAATCAAAAGATACGTTCAACACTGAGAGTTGAATGCACACCTCACAAAGAAGTTTCTCAGAATGCTTCTGGTTAGTTTTTATGTGAAGATGTTTCCTTTTCCACATTTGGCCTCAAAGCTCTAAAATATCTGCCTGCAGATCCTGCAAAAAGAGTGTTTCAAAACTGCTCAATCAAAGGAAAGATTCAACTCTCTGTGATGAATGCACTCACCACAAAGAAGTTTCTTTGAAAGCTTCTGTGCATTATTTATTTGAAGATATTTCCTTTTCCACCATAGGTTGCAAAGGGCTCCAAATATCCACTTGCCGAATCTACAAAAAGAGTTTCAATCAATAGATAGGTTCAACCATGTGAGTTGAAAGCACACATCACAAAGAAGTTTCTCAGAATTCTTCTGTGTATTTTTTATGTGTGAAGATATTTCCTTTTCCACAATAGGCCTCAAATCGCTCCAAATATCCAATTAGAGATTCTACCAAAAGAGAGATTCAAAACTGCTCAATCAAAAGAAAGGTTCAACTCTGTGAGATGAATGCACACATCACAAGGAAGTTTCTCAGAATGCTTCCGTGTAGTCTTTAGGTGAAGATATTTGCTTTTCCACAGTAGGCCTCAAAGCCCTCCAAATACCTACTTGCAGATTCTACAAAAAGAGTTTTTCAAAACTGCTCAATCATAAGAAAGGTTCAACCTTGGGAGTTGAATGCACACATCACAAAGACGTTTCTCATAATCCTTCTGTGTAGTTTTAATTTGAAGATATTTCCTTTTCAACCATAGGCCGCAAAGGGCTCCAAATATCCACTTGTAGATTCTACAAAAAGTGACATTCAAAACTGCTCAATGAAAAGATAAGTCCAACTCTGTGGGTTGAATCCATACCTCACAAAGAACTTTCTCAGAATGCTTCTCTGTAGTTTTTATGTGAATATATTTCCTTTTCCACAATAGGCCTCAAAGCTTTCCAAATATCCACTTGCATATTCTGCAAAAAGAGAGATTCAAAACTGCTCTATCAAAAGATAGGTTCGACTCCATGAGTTGAATGCAAACATCACAAAGAATTTTCTCAGAATGCTTCTGTGTAGTTTTTATGTGAAGATATTTCGTTTTCCACCATAGGGCGAAATGGGGCTCCAAATATCCACTTGCAGATTCTACAAAAAGAAATTCTAAGCGGCTCAATCAAAAGATAGGTTCCACACTGTTAGTTGAATGCACACTTCCCAAAGAAGTTTCTCAGAATGCTTCTGTGTAGTTTTTATGTCAAGATATTTTCTTTTACACAATAGGCCTCAAATCTCTCTAAATATCCACTTGCAGATTCTACAAAACGAGTGTTTCAAAACTGCTCAATCATAAGATAGGAGCAACTCTGAGAGTTGAATGCACACATCACAAAGAAGTTTCTCAGAATGCTTCTGTGTAGTTTTAATTTGAAGATATTTCATTTTCCAAAACAGGCTTCAAAGCTCTCCAAATATCCAATTGGTGATTCTGCAAAAAGAGGGTTTCAATACTGCTCAATAAAAAGAAAGGTTCAACTCTGTGAGGAATGCATTCATCACAAAGAAGTTTCTCTGAATGCTTCTGTGTAGTTTTTATGTGAAGATATTTCCTTTTCCACAATAGGGTGCAAAGAGCTCCAAATATCCACTTGCAGATTCTACCAAAAAAGAGATACAAAAGTTCTCAATGAAAAGATAAGTTCAACTCTGTGAGTTGAATGCATATCTCACAAAGAAGTTTCTCAAAATGCTTCTGTGTAGTTTTTATGTGAAGATTTTTGATTTTCCACAGTAGGCCTCAAAGCGCTCCAAATATCCACTCACAGATTCTGCAAAAAGAGAGATTCAAATCTGCTGAATCAAAAGATAGGTTCAACTCTGTGACTTCAATGCAAACCTCACAAAGGTGTTTCTCAGAAAGCTTCTGTGTAGTTTGTATATGAAGATATCTCCTTCTCCAAAACAGAACTCAAAGCCCTCCAAATATTTACTTCCAGATTCTACAGAAAGATTGCCTCAAAACTGCTAAATCAAAACAAAGGTTCAACTCTGTGATGAATGCGCTCATCAGAAAGAAGGTTCTCTGAATGCTTCTGTGTAGTTTCTATTTGAAGATATTTCCTTTTCCACTATAGGGCGAAATAGGGCTCCAAATATTCACTTGCAGATTCTACAAAAAGAGAGATTCTAAACTGCTCAATCAACAGATAGGTTCAACACTGTGAGTTGAATGCACACATCACAAATAAGTTTCGCAGAATGCTTCTGGGGTAGTTTTTATTTTGA
>NT_187456.1:0-3041 GCF_000001405.40 Homo sapiens
ATCTGCAAGTGGACATTTGGAGCGCCTTGTGGACTATTGTAGAATAAGGAATATCTTCACATAAAAACTAGACAGGAGCATTCTGACAAACTTCTTAGTGATATGTGCATTCATCTTGCATCATTGAACCTCCCCTTTGATGGAGTAGTTCTGAAACTGTCTTTTTGTAGAATCTGCATGTGGAGATTTTGAGAGCTTTTAGGCCTATGTTGCAAAAGGAAATATCTTCATATAGAAACTAGACAGAAGCATTCTGACAACCTTCTTTCTGACATGTGCATTCATCTCACAGAGTTGAACTTTCCTTTTTATGGACCAGTTTTGAAATACTCTTTTTGTAGAATGTGTAAGTGGACATTTAGAGCATCTCGAGGCCTATGGTGGAAAATGAAATATCTTCACATAAAACTAGACAGAAGAATTCTGAGTGAGAAACTTCTTTGTGATGTGTGCGTTCATCTCACAGAGTTGAACCTTTCTTTTGATTGAGCAGTTTGCAAACACAATTTTTGTAGATTCTGCAAGTGGACATTTGGAGTGCTTTGCGGCCTATGGTAGAAAAGGAAATATCCTCACATAAAACCTAGACAGAAGCAATGTGAGAAACTTCTTTTTGATTTGTGCATTCATCTCACAGAGTTAAACATTTCTTTTGATTGAGCAGTTTTGAAACACTCCTTTTGTGGAATCTGCAAGTGGACATTTGGAGGGCTTTGAGGCCTATGGTAGAAAAGGAAATATCTTCACATAAAATCTAGACAGAAGCAATCTGAGAAACATCTTTGTGATGTATGCATTCATCTCACAGAGTTAAACCCTTCTTTGTTTGAGCAGTTTTGAAAATCTTTTTTTATAGAATCTGCAAGAGGACATTTTGAGGGCTTTGAGGCCTTTGGTGAAAAAGGAAATATCTTCACATAAAACTAGACAGAAGAATTCTGAGAAACTTCTTTGTGATGTGTGCATTCATCTCACAGAGTTGAACCTTTCTTTTGATTGAGCAGTTTGGAAACACAATTTTTATAGATTCTGCAAGTGGACATTTGGAGCACTTTGCGGCCTATGGTAGAAAAGGAAATATCTTCACATAAAACCTAAACAGAAGCAATGTGAGAAACTTCTTTGTGATGTGTGTATTCATCTCACAGAGGTAACCCTTTCTTTCAATAGAGCAGTTTAGAAATGCTCTTTTTGTAGGATCTGCAAGTGGACATTTGGAGCGCATTTAGTCCTGTGGTGGAAAAGAAAATATCTTCACATAAGTACTAGACAGAAGAATTCTGAGAAACTTATTTGTGATGTGTGCATTCATCTCACAGAGCTGAACCTTTCTTTTGATTGAGCAGTTTGGAAACACTCTTTTTGTGGAATCTGCAAGTGGTCATTTGGAGCGCTTTGCGGCCTAAGATAGAAAAGCAATAACTTCACATAAAATCTAGACAGAAGCAATCTGAGAAACTTCTTTGTGATGTGTCCATTCATACCACAGAGTTAAAACTTTCTTTTGATTGAGGAGTTTTGAAACTCCCTTTTTGTAGAATCTGCTCATGGACACTTGGAGGGCTTTGAGGCCTATTGTGGAAAAGGAAATATCTTCACATAAAAACTAGACAGAAGAATTCTGAGAAACTTCTTTTTGATATGTACGTTCTTCTCACAGAGTTGAATCTTTCTTTTGATTGAGCAGTTTTGAAACTCTCTTTTTGTAGAATCTGCAAGTGGACATTTGGAGCGCTTTGAGGCCTATGGTGGAAAAGGAAATATCTTCACGTAAAAACTAGATAGAAGCATTCTGAGAAACTGCTTTGTGATGCGTGCATTCATCTCCCAGAGTTGAACGTTTCTTTTGATGGACCAGTTTTGAAATACTCTTTTTGTATAATCTGCAAGTGGACATTTCGAGCGCTTTGTCTCCTATTGTGAAAAAGGAAATATCTTCACTTAAAATCTAGACAGAAGCAATCTGAGAAACTTCTTTTTGATGTGTGCGTTCATCTCACAGAGTTAAAACTTTCTTTTGATTGAACAGTTTTGAAAATCTCTTTTTGTAGTATCTGTAAGTGGACATTTGGAGTGCTTTGAGGCCAATGGTAGAAAAGGAAATCACTTCACATAAAAACTAGACAGAAGAATTCTGAGAAACTTATTTGTGATGTGTCCATTCATCTCACAGAGTTGAACCTTTCTTTTGTTTGAGCAGTATGGAAACACCCTTTTGGTAGAATCTGCAGGTTGACATTTGACGTCCTTTGAGGCCTTGGTTGAAAAGGAAATATCCTCACATAAAATCCAGACAGAAGCAATCTGGGAACCTTCTTTGTGATGTGTGCATTCATCTCCCAGAGTTAAACCTTTCTTCTGATTGAGCAGTTTTGAAACTGTCTTTTTGTAGAATCTTCAAGTGAACATTTGGAGTGCATTTAGTCCTGTGGTGGAAAAGAAAATATCTTCACATAAAAACTAGACAGAAGAATTCTGGGAAACTTCTTTTATAAGCGTGCATTCATCTCACAGAGTTGAAGCTTTCTTTTGATTGAGCAGTTTGGAAACACTCTTTTTGTAGTATCTGCAAGTGGACATTTGGAGTGCTTTGCGGCCTGCGATAGAAAAGGAAATATCTTCACATAAAATCTGGAGAGAAGCAATCTGAAAAACTTCTTTGTGATGTGTGCCTTCATCTCAAAGAATTAAACCTTTCTTTTGATTGAGTAGTTTTGAAACACACTTTTTGTGGAGTCTGCTAATGGACATTTGGAAGGCTTTGAGGCCTATGGTGGAAAAGGAAATATCTTCACATAAAAAGTAGACAGAAGAATTCTGAGAAACTTCTTTGTTACATGTGCGTTCATTTCACAGAGTTGTACCTTTCTTTTGATTGAGCAGTTTGGAAACACTCTATTTGTAGAATCTGCAAGTGGACATTTGGAGCGCTTTATGGTAGAAAAGGTAATATCTTTACATAAAATCTAGACAAAAGCAAACTGAGAAACTACTTTCTGATGTGTGCATTCATCTCACAGTGTTAAACCTTTCTTTTGATT
>NT_187457.1:0-5796 GCF_000001405.40 Homo sapiens
AGAAGTTTCTCAGAAATCTCTGTCTAGTTTTTATGTGAAGATATTTCCTTTTCCACCATAGGCCTAAAAACAATCGCACACATCACAAAGAAGTTTCTCAGGATTCTTCTACCTAGTTTTTATTTGAAGATATTTCCTTTTCCACCATAGGTGTCCAAGCTCTCCAAATGTCCATTTGCAGATTCTACAAAAAGAGAGTTTCAAAACTCCCAATCAAAAGAAATGTTTAAATTTTTGAGGTGAATGCACACATCAGAAAGAAGTTTCTCAGAAATCTACTGTCTAGTTTTTATGTGAAGATATTTCCTTTTCCATCATAGGCCTCAAGGCACTCCAAACGTCCACTTACTGATTCTTCAAAAAGAGAGTTTCAAAATTGCTCAATAAAAAGACAATTTTAACTCTGTTAGATGAGTGCACACATCACAAAGTAGTTTCTCAGATTGCTTCTGCCTTGATTTAATGTGAAGATATTTCTTTTTATTCAATAAACTGCAAAGCTCTCCAAAAGTCCACTAGCAGCTTTGACAAAAAGACTGTTTCCATACTGCTCAAGAAAATAAAGGTTCAACTTTGTGGGATGAACACACACATCACAAAGAAGTTTCTCAGAATTCTTCTGCCTATTTTTTATGTGAAGATATTTCCTTTTCCACCATAGGCCTCCAAGTACTCCAAATGGCCACTTGCAGATTCTACAAAAAGAGAGTTTCAAAACTGCTCAATCAAAAGAAAGGTTTAACTCTGTGGGATGAATGCACACATCTCAAAAAAGTTTCTCAGATTGCTTCTGTCTAGATTTTATGTGAAGATTTTTCCTTTTATACCATAGGCTGCAAAGCGCTCCAAATGTCCAATTGCAGATTCTACAAAAAGAGTGTTTCCAAACTGCTCATTCAAAGGAAAGGTTGAACTTTGTGAGATGAATGGACACGACACAAACAAGTTTCTCAGAATTCTTCTGCTTATTTTTTATTTTAACATATTTCCTTTTCCACCATGGGCCTCAAAGCCCTCCAAATGTCCACTTACAGATTCTACAAAAACAGTGTCTCCATACTTCTCAATAAAAAGAAAGTTTCAACTCCATGAGAGGAATGCACACATCACAAAGTGGTTTCTCAGAATTCTTCTGTCTTGTTTTTATGTGAAGATATTTCCTTTTCAACCATACACCACAAAGTACTCCAAATGTCTGCTTGCTGCTTCTACAAAAAGAGAGTTTCCAAAATGCACAATCAAAAAAAAAAGGTTTAATTATGTAAGTTGAATGCACACATCTCAAAGAAGTTTATCAGATTGCTTCTGTCTAGATTTTTTGTGAAGATTTTCTTTTTTACTACCATAGGCTGCAAAGCGCTCCAAATGTCCAATAGCAGACTCTACAAAAAGAGTGTTTCCAAACTGCTCAGTCAAAGGAAAGGTTCTACTCTGCGAGATGAATGCACACATCACCAAGAAGTTTCTCAGAATTCTTCTGCCTAGTTTTTATGTTAAGATATTTCCTTTTCCACCATGGTCCTCAAAGCGCTCCAAATGTAAACTTGCAGACTCTACAAAAAGAGAGCTTTGAATCTCCTCAATCAAAGGAAAGTTTAAACTCTTTGAGGTTAATGCACACATCACAAAGGAGTTTCTCAGATTGCTTCTGTCTAGATTTTATGTGAGGATCTTACCTTTTCAGGCATAGGCCGCAAAGCGCTCCAAATGTCCACTTGCAGAATCTACTAAAAGATTGTTTCCAAAATGCTGAATCAAAAGAAATGTTCAACTCGGTGAGATGTACCTACACATAACAGGGAAGTTTCTCAGAATTCTTCTATATAGTTTTTATGTGAAGATATTTCGTTTTCTACCATAGTCCTCAAAGCGCTTCAAATTTCCACTTGCATATTCTACAGAAAGAGAGCCTGAAAACTCCTCAATGAAAAGAAATATTTAACACTGTGAGATGAATGCACACATCACAAATTAGTTTCTCAGATTGCTTCTATCTAGATTTTATGTGAAGGTATTTCCTTTTCTAACCCAGGCCAAAAGGTGAACAAAATGTCCACTTAAAGATTCTACAGAAAGAGTGTTTCCAAACTTCTCTATCAAAAGAAAGGTTCAACTCTGTGAGATAAATGCACACATCACAAAGAAGTTTCTCAGAATTCTTCTGTTTATTTTTTAAGTGAAGATATTTCCTTTTCCATCATAGGCCTCAAAGTGCTCCAAATGTCCACTTGCAGATCCTACAAAAAGAGAGTTTTAAAACTGCTCAATGAAAAGAAAGGTTTAACACTGTGAGATGAATGCACACATCACAAAGAAGTTTCTCAGATTGCTTCTGTCTAGATTTTATGTTAAGATATTTCCTTCTGTACCATAGGCCTCAAATCGCTCCAAATGTCCACATGCAGATTCTACAAAAAGAGTGTTTCCAAACTGCTCAATCAAAAGAAAGGTTTCACTCAGTGAGATGAATGCACACATCACAAAGAAGTTTATATGATTGCTTCTGTCAAGAGTTTATGTGAAGATATTTCCTTTTCCTCCTTAGTCCTCAAAGTGCTCCCAATGTCCAATTGCAAATTCAACAAAAAGAGAGTTTCAAAACTCTCACTCAAAAGAATGGTATCACTCAGTGAGATGAATGCACACATCACAGAGAAGTTTCTAAGATTGCTTCTGTCAAGATTTTATGTGAAGATATTTCCTTTTCTACTGTAGGCCGCAAAGTGCTCCAAATGTCCACTGGGAGATTTTACAAAAGAGTGTCTCCAAACTGATCAATCAAAAGAAAGTCTCAACTCTGTGAGATGAACGCATGCTTCACAAAGAAGTTACTCAGAAGTCTTCTGTCTAGTTTTTATGTGAAGATATTTGGTTTTCCACCATGGGCCACAAAGAGCTCTTAATCTCCACTTGCAGGTTCTACAAAAGAGAGTTTCAAAACTGCTCAATCAAAAAAAAGTTTTAACTCTGTGACATGAATGCACACATCACAAATAAATTTCTTAGATTATTTCTGTCTAGATTTTAAGTGAAGATATATCCTTTTCTACCATAGGCCCCAAGGCCCTCCAAATGTCCACTTGCAGATTCTACAAAAAGAGTATTTCAAAACTTGTACATCAAAAGGAAGGTTCAACTCCTGGAGATGAATGCACACAACACAAAGAAGTTTCTCTGAATACTTCAATCTTGTTTTTATGTGAAGATATTTCCTTTTCCACCATTGGCCTCAAAGTGCTCCAAATGTCCACTTGCAGATCCTACAAAAAGAGCGTTTTAAAACTGCTCAATCAAAATAAAGGTTTAACTCTGTGAGATAAATGCGCATATCACAAAGAAGTTTCTCAGATTGCTTCTGTCTAGATTTTATGTGAAGATAGTTCCTTTTCTACCATGGGCCTCAAATCGCTCCAAATGTCCACTTGCAGATTCTACAGAAAGAGTGTTTCCATACTGCTCAATCAAACAAAGGTTCAACTCTGTCAGATGAATGCACACATAAAAAAGAAATTTCTCAGAATACTTCTGTCTAGTTTTTATGTGAAGATATTTCCTTTTCCACCTTAGGCCTCAAAGTGCTCCCAATGTCCAATTGCAGATTCAACAAAAAGAGAGTTTCAAAACTGCTCAATCAAAAGAAAGGTTTCACTCAGTGAGAGGAATGCACACATCACAGAGAAGTTTCTAAGATTGCTTCTCTCAAGATTTTATGTGAAAATATTTCCTTTTCTGCTGTAGGCTGCAAAGCGCTCCCAATGTCCACTGGGAGATTTTACAAAAGGGTGTCTCTAAACTGCTCAATCAAAAGAAAGGTTCAACTCTGTGAGATGAACGCATGCTTCACAAAGAAGTTACTCAGAAATCTTCTGTCTACTTTTTATGTGAAGATATTTCGTTTTCCACCATAGGCCTCAAAGGGCTCTTAATCTCCACTTGCAGATTCTACAAAGGAGAGTTTCAAAACTGCTCAATCAAAAGAAAGGTTTAACTCTGTGACATGAATGCGCACATCACAAAGAAGTTTCTCAGATTGCTTTTGTCTAGATTTTAAATGAAGATGTATCCTTTTCTACCATAGGCCCCAATGCGTTCCAAATGTCCACTTGCAGATTCTACAAAAAGAGTATTTCAAAACTGGTACATCAAAAGGAAGTTTCAACTCTTTGAGATGAATGCACACATCACAGAGGAGTTTCTCAGAATGCTTCTGTCTAGTTTTTATGTGAAGATATTTCCTTTTCCACCGTAGGCCTGAAAACTCTCCAAATATACACTTACAGATTCTACAAAAACGTGTTTCAAAACTGCTCAATGAAAAGAAAGGTTCAAATCTGTGAGATGAATGCACACATCACAAAGAAGTTTGTCAGAATGTTTCTGTATAGTTTTTATATGAAGATACTTCCTTTTCCACCATAGGCTTCGAAGCACTCCAAATTTCCACACGTAGATTGTACAGTGTTTCAAAGCTGTTCAATCAAATCAAAGGTTCAAACTTGTGAGATGAATGCACACATCACAAAGAAATTTGTCAGAATGCTTCTGTCTAGTTATTGTGAACATATTTCCTTTTCCATCATAGGCCTCAATGCATGCCAAATGTCCACTTGCTGATAGTACAAAAACGGTGTTTCAAAACTGCTGAATCAAAAGAAAGGTTCAACTCTTTGAGATGAATGCACATATCACAAAGAAGTTCGTCAGAATGCTTCTATCTAGTTTTCATGTGAAGATTTTTTTTAAAAATATGCCTCAAATCACTCCAAATGTCCACTTGCAAAATCTACAAAAAGAGTGTTTCCAAACTGCTCAATAAAAAGATTCAACTCTGTGAGAAGAACGCACACATCACAAAGAAGTTTCTCAGAATGTTCTGTCTAGGTTTTATGTAAAGATATTTACTTTTCCACCATAGGCCTCAAAGTGCTCCAATCCACTCCAATGCATTCCATTCTGTCCCATTCCATTCCACTCCATTCCACTACACTACACTCCACCCCACTCCATTCCATTCCATTCCACTCCACTCCACTCCATTCCATTCCATCAGATTCCAGTTCTCTCCATTCCACTCCACTCCAATCCACTTCACTCGACTCCACTTCACTCCATTGTATTCCATCCCATTGCATTCAACTCCACTCCATTCCACTCCTTTCTTTTAACAGTATCTCACCCTGTCGACAAGCCTGGAGTGAAGTGGCACAATCTCAGCTCACATGACATTTCAACATTCCATTCCACTCCATTCCATTCCATTTCACTACACTCTGCTGCACTCCACTCCACTCCATTCCAATCAATCCCACTCCATTCCAGTACACTGCATTCCACTCCACTCACTTCCACTCCCTTTCATGCCATCCCATTGAATTCAACTCCACTCCACTCCACTACAGTACAGTAGACTACACTACACTCCCTTCCATTACATTCCATACCACACCATTCCATTCCATTCCATTCCTTTCTTTCGACAGGATCTCACTCTGTCACCCAGGCTGGAGTGCAGTGGAGCAATCTCAGCTGACATTTCACTTCAGCATTCCATTGCATTCCATTCCATTCAATTCCATTCCATTCCATTCCATAACATTCCACTGCACTCCACTCCACTTCACTCCACTCAACTCCATTCCATTCCATCCACTCCATTCCACTATAAACCCCTCCAGTCCACTCCACTCCATCCCAAACCATCCCATTACATTCCACTCCATTCCACTCCAATCCACTCCAGTCCAGTCCAGTCCACTCCACTCCATTTCACTCCAATCCATCCCATCACATTCCACT
>NT_187458.1:0-1652 GCF_000001405.40 Homo sapiens
ATTTCTGCCCAGTCAGCCCCAGGCACCCAGGACAACCCTAGACACTCACAGGCCTCACGAGACTATCTCCCTATGACCTGTACCTATACAGGGATGGCTCCCACGCATCCCTCAGTGACCCCAAACCCATCTCCACTTACACTCAGGCACTCCCAGGGCCTGACAGCTACTCCCCGTTATCGTCCTTCAGTTCGTAGCTCTGGCCAATCTACTAGCCCACATGACGCAGTTACCTGGCCATTTCTCCATGGTTCCCGTGAGGGCCCCACACCCAGGCGCACAAGAACCCCTCCTGCATTCCGTCCTCACACGCAGGCCTGTCCATCTACTTGCTACTGTCACACTCTTGCCAGCAGAAGAGGCCCCTGTAATGGCCGATATCACCACCCAGTCTATCCTCACCCCACAGCTGTGCAGCGGGAACTTCCTGCTGGCCCACGTGGTTGCCACAGCCCATGCTGGCACGACGCTCCAGCAGGTCGGCGTCCCTGCGGGCCACACTACCGGTGACATGGCTAGCATGACCCTCCTTCCTGGCAGTGACACTGTTGATGTGAACCCCAGTTTCACATCTGTCATTTGTAAATAGGACCATTTTCCCTTTTCACTCTCCCTTCCATTCACAGGGCATTTCATTCTCTCTGTTTCTGCCTCTGTTTCAGATATTTACTCACCTTTTTCTCTCTCACTATGTCTGCCGTGGTCTCCATGAGACTGCGCCACATAAGATTCCCCCATTAAAAGTCAGGAATTGAGTGGCTTTTAGTATACCTGTGGTTGTGCACATTCAATTTTAATTCGCAATCCATTGTAAAACGTCATATCACCCCCGACCAGAGAAAAACGCTGTAGACATTAGTCACTCCTCCTTCTGTCTCAAACCCTCTCCCTGACCCTCAGCCCTCGGTAGCAACTACCTAGTGCGATCAATCCCATATGCATAGATTTCCATATTGTGGACATTTCCTATAAACGGAATTGCACAATAGGTGAGCTGCTATGACTGACATAACACGTAGCACAATATTTTCAAGATTCATCCACATTGTAGGCTTACCCACAGGGGAAAACCATTTTTTGGGGGGTTTTAGTAACACCGGTGTTTTCTTCTTCCTTTCATCCTTCTTTCCTTCCTTCCTTCCTTCCTTCCTTCCTTCCGTCCTACCTTCCTTCTTTCCTTCCTTCCTTTCTTCCTTGCTTCCTTCCTTCCTTCCTCCTATTTCTCTCTTACTCCTTCTGCCCTCTCTCTTTCATATGCCTTAGGTGCATCCCACATTCTGCGTTTTTTGGGGGAAATCCTCGACAGGTGCAGGAAAATTGTGTTATTGTAACTATTTACCGCTATCTCTCTTTCACGGCTCTCCATCACTTGTGAACATCTATTGGTTTATCCCAAGTCACTAAGCATATTTTTATTAGGTACACCTGTTTTTCCTTATACAGCTGTTTCTGGAGTGTAGGGTCGCATACTCATAAACCCAGTGTAACTCAGAAACGAATCTAATATTCCAATAAACCCATCATAACGTTGAAAAATCATAAATCAAACCATCATAAGTCACGGTTTGTCTGTGGATATGGGCGTCATCAATTCCGTTGTATTCAGTAATGCTGTACACCATTAACAATGGCAGACTGATTGGGAGTGGATA
>NT_187459.1:0-1040 GCF_000001405.40 Homo sapiens
TGGTCTATCAAAGAAAGGTTAAACTCAGTGAGTTGAACCCACACATCACAAAGTAGCTTCTGAGAATCATTGTGTCTAGTTCTCCTACGAAGATATTGCCTTTTCTACCATAGGCCTCAAACGGCGCTAAATATCCACCTGGAAATTCTACCAAAACTGAGGTTCAAAAGT
Source organism: Homo sapiens (assembly GCF_000001405.40). Classification (NCBI taxonomy): domain Eukaryota; kingdom Metazoa; phylum Chordata; class Mammalia; order Primates; family Hominidae; genus Homo; species Homo sapiens. The sequence continues at coordinate 172 of NT_187459.1, forward strand.
GCTCTATTGAAAGGAAGCTTCACCTCTGTGAGTTGAAGGTACACATCACAAAGAAGTTTCTGAGAATTCTTCTGTCTAGTTGTAAATGAAGAAATCACGTTTCAAACGAAGGCCACAAAGAGGTCCAAATATCCACCTGCAGATTCTGCAAAAAGAGTGTTTCAAAACTGCTCCATCAAGAGGAATGTTCAACTCTGTGCGTTGAATGCAAATATCACAAGTAAGTTTCTGACAATACTTCTGTGTAGTTTTTATGTGAAGATATTTCCTTTCCTACTGTAGGCCTCAAAACGCTCTAAATATACACTTGCAAATTCCACAAAAAGAGTGTTTCCAAACTGCTCTATCAAAGGAAGTTTAAACTGTGTCCGCTTAATGCAAGCATCACAAAACAGCTTCGGAGAATGAATCTGCCTAGTTTTTCTGTGAAGATATTCCTTTTTCTGCCATAGACCTCAAACCACTGTAAAAATCCACTTGGAAATTCTACAAAAAGAGTATTTCAAAACTCTTCTATCGAAAGGAAGTTTCAACTCCATGAGTTAAACGCACATATCACAAATAATTTTCTGAGGATTCTTCTTTCAAATTTTATATGAAGAAATCCCGTTTCCAAAGATGGCCTCAGAAAAGTCCCAATATACACTTGCAGATTCTACAAAAAGAGTTTTTCAAAACTGCTCTATCAAAAGAAAGGTTAAACTCTGTGAGTTGAAGGCACACATCACACAGTAGTTTCTGAGAATCATTCTGTCTAGTTTTTCTAGGAAGATATCGCCTTTTCCACCATAGGCCTCAAACGGCGCTAAATATCCACTTGGAAATTCTACAAAAAGAGAGTTACAAGACTGCTCTATTGAAAGGAAGCT
>NT_187460.1:0-1368 GCF_000001405.40 Homo sapiens
ATATCTTCACATAAAAGCTAGACAGAAGTATTCTCAGACAGTTCTTTGTGATATGTCCATTCAACTCACAGAGTTGAATCTTTCCTTTGATAGAGAAGATTGGAAACGTTCTTTCTGCATACTCTGCAAGTGTTCATTTGGAGCGCTTAGAGGCTCATGGTGGAAAGTGAAATATCTTCACATATAAACTAGATAGAAGCATTCTCAGAAACATTTAGGGATGTGTGAACTCAACTCACAGAGTTCAACTTTCCTTTTGATAGAGCTGTCTTGAAATCCTGCTTTTGCAGAATCTGCTTGAGGATATTTGGAGCTCTTTCAGGAATTCGTTGCCAACGGGATATCTGCACAAAATTGACAGAAGCATTCTCAGAAACTTTTTTTGGGATGTGTGGATTCAACTCACACAGTTCAACCTTCCTTTTGATAGAGCAGTCTTGAAATACTGCTTTTGAAGAATCTGCTTCAGGATATTTGGAGCTCTTTGAGGAATTCGTTGCAATCGGGATATCTGCACATACAAATTAGACAGAAGCATTCCCAGAAACTTTTTCGTGATGTGTGGATTCAACTCACAGAATTCAACCTTCCTTTTGATAGAGCATTCCTGAAACCCTGCTTGGGTAGAATCTGCTTGAGGATATTTGGAGCTCTTGGAGGAATTCGTGGCAAACGAGATATCTCCACATACAATCTAGACAGAAGCATTCTCAGAAAATTTTGTGTTGTGTGCATTCAAGTCACAGAGTTGAACGTCTTTTTGGATAGATCAGTTTTGAAACCATCCTTTTCTAGAATCAGCTTGAGGATATTTGTAGGTCTTTGAGGAATTCGTTGTAAACGGGATATCTGCACATACAAGGTAGACAGAAACATGGTCAGAGACTTTTTTGTGATGTGTGAACTCAACTCACAGAGTTCAACCTTTCTTTTGATAGAGCAGTTTTGCAGCACTGCTTTTGTAGAATCTGCCTGAGGACATTTGGAGCTCTTTGAGGAATTCGTTGTAAACGGGATGTCCGCACATACAAACTAGACACAACTATTCTCAGAAACTTTTTTGGGATGTGTGGATTCAACTCACAGAGTTCACCCTTCCTTTTGATAGAGCAGTCTTGAAATACTGCTTTTGTAGAATCTGCTTGAGGATATTTGGAGCTCTTGAGGAATTCGTTGTAAACGGGGTATCTGCACATACAAACTGGACGGAAGCATTCTCAGAAACTTTTTTGTGATGTCTGCATTCAACTCACAGAGTTGAACCTTCCTTTGGGAGAGCAGCTCTGAAACAGTGTTTTTGCAGTATCAGGAAGTGGATATTTGGAGCGATATGAGGCCTATGGTGGAAAAGGAGATACCTTCACATGG
>NT_187461.1:0-2699 GCF_000001405.40 Homo sapiens
CAAAGTGTGTATTATATACTGTACATAAAATATCAAAGTACCCAAAGTATATATTACATACTGTACATAAAATATCAAAGTTCCCAAATTGGGTATTATATACTGTACATAAAATATCAAAGTACCCAATGTATGTATTATATACTGTACATAAAATAAAAGTACCCAAGGTATGTATTATATACTGTACATAAAATATGAAAGTACCCAAACACTTATAATAAACTCTACATAAAATTTCAAAGTAGTCAATCTATATACTGTACATGAAATATCAAAGTACCAATACTATATATTGTATACCGTACATAAAATCACAAAGTACCCAAACTATATATTATATACTGTACATAAAATATGAAAGTACCCAAAGTATGTATTATATACTGTACATAAAATATCAAAGTACCCAAAGTATGTATTATATACTGTACATAAAATAAGAAAGTACCCAAAGTATGCATTATATACTGTACATAAAATATCAAAGTACACAAAGTATGCATTTTATACTGTACATAAAATATCAAAGTACCCAAGTATGTATTATATACTGTACATAAAATATCAAAGTACCCAAAGTATGTATTATATACTGTATATAAAATATCAAAGAGGCCAAAGTATGTATTATATACTGTACATAAAATATCAAAGTACCCAAAGTATGTATTGTATACTGTACATAAAATATCATAGTGCCAAAGTATGTATTATATACTGTACATAAAATATGAAAGTACGCAAACATTTATAATAAACTGTACATAAGATATCAAAGCACTCAAACGATATACTGCACATAAAATATCAAAGTACCAAAACTATATATTTTATACTGGACATAAAATATAAAAGTACTCAAACTATATACTGTACATAAAATATCAAAGTACCCAAAGTATGTATTATATACTGTACATAAAATATCAAAGTACCCAAAGTATGTATTGTATACTGTACATAAAATATCATAGTGCCCAAAGTATGTATTATATACTGTACATAAAATATGAAAGTACGCAAACATTTATAATAAACTGTACATAAAATATCAAAGTACTCAAATGATATACTGCACATAAAATATCAAAGTACCAAAACTATATATTTTATACTGGACATAAAATATCAAAGTACTCAAACTAAATATTGTATACTGTACATAAAATATAAAAGTACCCAAAGTATGTATTATATACTGTACATAAAATATCAAAGTACCCAAAATATGTATTTTAAGTTGAAGATAAAATATCAAAGTACCCAAACTATATATTATATACTGTACATAAAATTTGAAAGTACCAAAGTATGTATTATATACTGTACATAAAATATGAAAGTACCCTAAGTATGTATTATATACTGTACATAAAATATCAAAGTGCCCAAAGTATATATTACATACTGTACATAAAATATCAAAGTACCCAAATTGTGTATTATATACTGTACATAAAATATCAATGTACCCAAAGTATGTATTATATACTGTACATAAAATATCAAATTACCCAAAGTATGTATTGTATACTGTACATAAAATATCAAAGGGCCCAAAGTATGTATTATATACTGTACATAAAATATAAAAGTACCCAAATTATGTATTATATACTGTACATAAAATATCAAAGTACCCAAAGTATGTATTATATACTGTACATAAAATATCAAAGTACCCAAAGTACATATTATATACTGTACATAATATATCAAAGTACCCAAAGTATGTATTATATACTGTACATAATATATCAAAGTACGCAAAGTATGTATTATCTACAGTACACAAAATATAAAACTACGCAAAGTAGGTATTATATACGGTACATAAAGTATCAAAGCACACAAATTATGTATTATATACTGTATATAAAATATCAAAGTACCCAAATTATGTATTATATAGTGTACATAATATATCAAAGTACCCAAATATGTATTGTATACTGTACACAAAATATCAAAGTCTCCAACGTATGTATTATATACTGTACGTAAAATATGAAAGTAGCCAAACATTTATAATAAACTGTACATAAAATATCAAAGTACTCAAACTATATACTGTATATAAAATATCAAAGTACCAAAACTATATATTTTATACTGGACATAAAATATCCAATTACTCAAAGTATGTATTGTATACTGTACATAAAATATCAAAGTACACAAAGTATGCATTATATACTGTACATAAAATATCAAAGAACCCAAAGTATGTATTGTATACTGTACATAAAATATCAAAGTACCCAAAGTATGTATGGTATACTGTACATAAAATATCAAAGTGCCCATAGGATGTATTATATACTGTACATAATATATCAAAGTACCCAAAGTAGGTATTATATAGTCTACATAATATATCAAAGTACGCAAAGTATGTATTATATACTGTACATAAAATATAAAACTACCCAAAGTATGTATTATATACTGTACATAAAATATAAAAGTACCCAAAGTATGTATTATATACTGTACATAAAATATCAAAGAACCCAATTTATGTATTTTATACTGTACATAAAATACCAAAGTGCCCAAATTATGTATTATATACTGTACATAAAATAGGAAAGTACCTAAACATTTATAATAAAGTGTACATAAAATATCAAAGTACCCAAATTATGTATTATATACTGTACATAATATATCAAAGTACCCAAAGTATGTATTGT
>NT_187462.1:0-1048 GCF_000001405.40 Homo sapiens
AACGAGATATCTCCACATACAATCTAGACAGAAGCATTCTCAGAAAATTTTGTGTTGTGTGCATTCAAGTCACAGAGTTGAACGTCTTTTTGGATAGATCAGTTTTGAAACCATCCTTTTCTAGAATCAGCTTGAGGATATTTGTAGGTCTTTGAGGAATTCGTTGTAAACGGGATATCTGCACATACAAGGTAGACAGAAACATGGTCAGAGACTTTTTTGTGATGTGTGAACTCAACTCACAGAGTTCAACCTTTCTTTTGATAGAGCAGTTTTGCAGCACTGCTTTTGTAGAATCTGCCTGAGGACATTTGGAGCTCTTTGAGGAATTCGTTGTAAACGGGATGTCCGCACATACAAACTAGACACAACTATTCTCAGAAACTTTTTTGGGATGTGTGGATTCAACTCACAGAGTTCACCCTTCCTTTTGATAGAGCAGTCTTGAAATACTGCTTTTGTAGAATCTGCTTGAGGATATTTGGAGCTCTTGAGGAATTCGTTGTAAACGGGGTATCTGCACATACAAACTGGACGGAAGCATTCTCAGAAACTTTTTTGTGATGTCTGCATTCAACTCACAGAGTTGAACCTTCCTTTGGGAGAGCAGCTCTGAAACAGTGTTTTTGCAGTATCAGGAAGTGGATATTTGGAGCGATATGAGGCCTATGGTGGAAAAGGAGATACCTTCACATGGAAGCTACACAGAAGCATTCTCAGAAACTGCTTTGGGATGTGTGCATTCAACTCACAGAGGTGAACGCTTTCTTTGATAGAGCAGTTGTGAAACATTCTTGTTGCAGTATCTGCAAGTGTTCTTTTGGAGCGCTTCGAAACCTGCGGTGGAAATGGTAATATCGTCACATAAAAACTAGACGGAAGTTTGCTCAGACAGTTCCTTGTGATGTGCGCATTGAACTCAAAGAGTTGAACCTTCCTTTTGAGAAAGCAGTTTTGAAACAGTGTTTTCTTACGATCTACAAGTGGATATTTGGAGCGATTTGAGGCCTATGGTGGAAAAGGAAATATCTTCAGATAAAAACTACAC
>NT_187463.1:0-1428 GCF_000001405.40 Homo sapiens
GAAGTATTCTCAGACAGTTCTTTGTGATATGTCCATTCAACTCACAGAGTTGAATCTTTCCTTTGATAGAGAAGATTGGAAACATTCTTTCTGCATACTCTGCAAGTGTTCATTTGGAGCGCTTAGAGGCTCATGGTGGAAAGTGAAATATCTTCACATATAAACTAGACAGAAGCATTCTCAGAAACATTTAGGGATGTGTGAACTCAACTCACGGAGTTCAACTTTCCTTTTGATAGAGGTGTCTTGAAATCCTGCTTTTGCAGAATCTGCTTGAGGATATTTGGAGCTCTTTCAGGAATTCGTTGCCAACGGGATATCTGCACAAAATTGACAGAAGCGTTCTCAGAACCTTTTTTTGGGATGTGTGGATTCAACTCACACAGTTCAACCTTCCTTTTGATAGAGCAGTCTTGAAATACTGCTTTTGAAGAATCTGCTTCAGGATATTTGGAGCTCTTTGAGGAATTCGTTGCAATCGGGATATCTGCACATACAAATTAGACAGAAGCATTCCCAGAAACTTTTTCGTGATGTGTGGATTCAACTCACAAAATTCAACCTTCCTATTGATAGAGCATTCTTGAAACACTGCTTGGGTAGAATCTGCTTCAGGATATTTGGAGCTCTTGGAGGAATTCGTGGCAAACGAGATATCTCCACATACAATCTAGACTGAAGCATTCTCAGAAAATTTTGTGTTGTGTGCATTCAAGTCACAGAGTTGAAGGTCTTTTTGGATAGATCAGTTTTGAAACCATCCTTTTCTAGAATCAGCTTGAGGATATTTGTAGGTCTTTGAGGAATTCGTTGTAAACGGGATATCTGCACATACAAGGTAGATAGAAACATGGTCAGAGACTTTTTGTGATGTGTGAACTCAACTCACAGAGTTCAACCTTTCTTTCGATAGAGCAGTTTTGCAGCACTGCTTTTGCAGAATCTGCCTGAGGACATTTGGAGCTCTTTGAGGAATTCGCTGTAAACGGGATGTCCGCACATACAAACTAGACACAACTATTCTCAGAAACTTTTTTGGGATATGTGGATTCAACTCACAGAGTTCACCCTTCCTTTTGATAGAGCAGTCTTGAAATACTGCTTTTGTAGAATCTGCTTGAGGATATTTGGAGCTCTTGAGGAATTCGTTGTAAACGGGGTATCTGCACATACAAACTGGACGGAAGCATTCTCAGAAACTTTTTTGTGATGTCTGCATTCAACTCACAGAGCTGAACCTTCCTTTGGGAGAGCAGCTCTGAAACAGTGTTTTTGCAGTATCACCCAAGTGGATATTTGGAGCGATATGAGGCCTATGGTGGAAAAGGAGATACCTTCACATGGAAGCTACACAGAAGCATTCTCAGAAACTGCTTTGGGATGTGTGCATTCAACTCACAGAGGTGAACGCTTTCTTGATAGAGCAGT
>NT_187464.1:0-1428 GCF_000001405.40 Homo sapiens
CTTTTGATAGAGCAGTCTTGAAATACTGCTTTTGTAGAATCTGCTTGAGGATATTTGGAGCTCTTGAGGAATTCGTTGTAAACGGGGTATCTGCACATACAAACTGGACGGAAGCATTCTCAGAAACTTTTTTGTGATGTCTGCATTCAACTCACAGAGTTGAACCTTCCTTTGGGAGAGCAGCTCTGAAACAGTGTTTTTGCAGTATCAGGAAGTGGATATTTGGAGCGATATGAGGCCTATGGTGGAAAAGGAGATACCTTCACATGGAAGCTACACAGAAGCATTCTCAGAAACTGCTTTGGGATGTGTGCATTCAACTCACAGAGGTGAACGCTTTCTTTGATAGAGCAGTTGTGAAACATTCTTGTTGCAGTATCTGCAAGTGTTCTTTTGGAGCGCTTCGAAACCTGCGGTGGAAATGGTAATATCGTCACATAAAAACTAGACGGAAGTTTGCTCAGACAGTTCCTTGTGATGTGCGCATTGAACTCAAAGAGTTGAACCTTCCTTTTGAGAAAGCAGTTTTGAAACAGTGTTTTCTTACGATCTACAAGTGGATATTTGGAGCGATTTGAGGCCTATGGTGGAAAAGGAAATATCTTCGGATAAAAACTACACAGAAGCATTCTCAGAAACTGCTCTGTGTTGTGTTCATTGAAGTCAAAGGGTTGAACTCCGTCTTTGATAGAGCAGTTTTGAAACATTCTTTTTGTAGAATCTGCAAGTGTTCATTTGGAGCGCTTTGAAGCCTAGGGTGCAAAAGGAAATATCTTCACAGAAAAACCGGACAGAAGCATTCTCAGAAACTGCTTTGTGATGTGTCCATTGAACTCACAGAGTCCAACCTTTCTTTTGATAGAGCAGATTTGAGGCATTCTCTGTGCATAATCTGCAAGTGTTCCTTTGGAGCGCTTTGAAGGCTTATGGTGGAAAGCAAAATATCTTCACATAAAAACTAAACAGAAGCATTCTCAGAAACTGCTTTGGGATGTGTGCATTCAACTCACAGAGTTGAACGCTTTCTTTGATACAGCAGTTTAGAAGCATTCTTTTTGTAGAATCTGCAAGTGTTCATTTGGAGCGCTTTGAAGCCTACGGTGGAAAAGGAAATATCTTCACATAAAAGCTAGACAGAAGTATTCTCAGACAGTTCTTTGTGATATGTCCATTCAACTCACAGAGTTGAATCTTTCCTTTGATAGAGAAGATTGGAAACATTCTTTCTGCATACTCTGCAAGTGTTCATTTGGAGCGCTTAGAGGCTCATGGTGGAAAGTGAAATATCTTCACATATAAACTAGACAGAAGCATTCTCAGAAACATTTAGGGATGTGTGAACTCAACTCACAGAGTTCAACTTTCCTTTTGATAGAGCTGTCTTGAAATCCTGCTTTTGCAGAATCTGCTTGAGGATATTTGGAGCTC
>NT_187465.1:0-1026 GCF_000001405.40 Homo sapiens
AACTGTACATAAAATATCAAAGTACTCAAACTATATCTTGTACATGAAATATCAAAGTACAAATACTATATATTGAATACCGTACATAAAATATCAAAGTACCCAAACTATATATAGTATACTGTACATAAAATATCAAAGTACCCAAAGTATGTATTATATACTGTACATAAAATATCAAAGTACCCAACGTATGCATTGTATACTGTATATAAAATATCAAAGTACCCAAAGTATGTATTATATACTGTACATAAAATATCAAAGTACCCAAAGTATGTATTGTATACTGTATATAAAATATCAAAGTGCCCAAAGTATGTATTATATACTGTCCATAAAATATAAAAGTAACCAAAGTATGTATTATATACTGTACATAAAGTATCAAGGCAACCAAATTATGTATTATATACTGTACATAAAATAACAAAGTACCCAAATTATGTATTATATACTGTACATAATATATCAAAGTACCCAAAGTATGTACTGTATACTATACACAAAATATCAAAGTGCCCAAAGTATGTATTATACACTGTACATAAAATATGAAAGTACCCAAACATTTATAATAAACTGTATAAAAAATATCAAAGTACTCAAAATATATACTGTATATAAAATATCAAAGTACCAAAACTATATATTTTATAGTGGACATAAAATATCAAAGTACTCAAAGTATGTATTGTATACTGTACATAAAATATCAAAGTACCCAAAGTATGCATTATATACTGTACATAAAATCTCAGAGTACCCCAAGTATGTATTGTATACTGTACATAAAATATCAAAGTACCCAAAGTATGTATTGTATACTGTACATAAAATATCAAAGTGCCCAAAGTATGTATTATATACTGTACATAAAATATAAAAATACCCAAAGTATGTATTATATACTGTACATAAAATATCAAAGTACCCAAAGTATGTATTATATACTGTACATAAAATATCAAAGTACCCAAGGTATGTATTACATATTGTACATAAAATATCAACATACCCAAAGTA
>NT_187466.1:0-1121 GCF_000001405.40 Homo sapiens
CCAAAGTATGTATTATAAGCTGTAGATAAAATATCAAAGTACCCAAACTATATATTATATACTGTACATAAAATATGAAAGTACCCAAAGTATGTATTATATACTGTACATAGAATATCAAAGTACCCAAAGTGTGTATTATATACTGTACATAAAATATCAAAGTACCCAAAGTATGCATTACATACTGTACATAAAACATGAAAGTACCCAAAGTATGCATTATATACTGTACATAAAATATCAAAGTACCCAAAGTATGTATTATATACTGTACATAAAATATCAAAGTACCCAAAGTATGTATAGTATACTGTACATAAAATATCAAAGTGCTCAAAGTATGTATTATATACTGTACATAAAATATGAAAGTATCCAAACCTTTATAGTAAAGTGTACATAAAATATCCATGTACTCCAACTATATACTATACATAAAATATCAAACTACCAAAACTATATATTCTATACTGGACATAAAATATCAAAGTACTCAAAGTATATATTGTATACTGTACATAAAATATCAAAGTACCCAAAGCATGTATTATATACCGTACATAAAATATCAAAGTACCCAAAGTATGTATTATATACTGTAATTAAAATATCACAGTACCCAAAGTATGTATTATCTACTGTACATAAAATACCAATGTACTCAATGTATGTATTATACACTGTACATAAAATATCAAAGTACACAAAGTATGTATTATGTACTGTACACGAAATATCAAAGTACCCAAAGTATGTATTATATACTGTACATAAAATATCAAAGTACCCAAAGTATGTATTATATACTGTACATAAAATATCAAAGTACCCAAAGTATGTATTATGTACTGTACATAAAATATCAAAGTACCCAAACTATATATTATATCCTGTACATAAAATATCAAAGTACCCAAAGTATGCATTATATACTGTACATAAAATGTCAAACTACCCTAAGTATGTATTATATACTGTACATAATATATCAAAGTACCCAAAATATGTATTATGTACCGTACATAAAATATCAAAGTACCCAAAGTATGTATTATATACTGTACATACAATATCAAAGTACCCAAAGTATGTATTATATACTGCACCTAAAATAAAAG
>NT_187467.1:0-1803 GCF_000001405.40 Homo sapiens
TCTATTCAGAGATTCAACTTCTCCCTGTTTTAGTCTTGGGAGAGTGTATGTGTCGAGGAATGTATCCATTTCTTCTAGATTTTCTAGTTTATTTGTGTAGAGGTGTTTATAGTATTCTCTGATGGTAGTTTGTATTTCTGTGTGATTGGTGGTGATATCCCCTTTATCAGTTTTTATTGCATCTATTTGATTCTTTTCTTTTTTCTTCCTTATTAGTCTTGCTAGCAGTCTATCTACTTTGTTGATCCTTTCATAAAAACAGCTCCTGGATTCGTTAATTTTTTGAAGGGTTTTTTTGTGTCTCTATTTCCTTCAGTTCTGCTCTGATTTTAGTTATTTCTTGCCTTCTGCTAGCTTTTGAATGTGTTTGCTCTTGCTTTTCTAGTTCTTTTAATTGTGATGTTCAGGTGTCAATTTTGGATCTTTCCTGCTTTCTCTTGTGGGCATTTAGTGCTATAAATTTCCCTCTACACACTGCTTTGAATGCATCCCAGAGATTCTGGTATGTTGTGTCTTTGTTCTCATTGGTTTCAAAGAATGTCTTTATTTCTGCCTTCATTTCGTTATGTACCCAGTAGTCATTCAGGAGCAGGTTGTTCAGTTTCCATGTAGTTGAGCGTTTTTGACTGAGATTCTTAATCCTGAGTTCTAGTTTGATTGCACTGTGGTCTGAGAGATAGTTTGTTATAATTTCTGTCCTTTTCCATTTGCTGAGGAGAGCTTTACTTCCCAGTATGTGGTCAATTTTGGAATAGGTGTGTTGTGTTGCTGAAAAAAATGTATATTCTGTTGATTTGGGGTGCAGAGTTCTGTAGATGTTTATTAGGTCCGCTTGGTGCAGAGCTGAGTTCAATTCCTGGGTATCCTTGTTGAATTTCTGTCTTGTTGATCTGTCTGAAGTTGACAGTGGGGTGTTAAATTCTCCCATTATTAATGTGTGGGAGTCTAAGTCTCTTTGTAGGTCACTCGGGACTTGCTTTATGAGTTTGGGTGCTCCTGTATTGGGTGCATATATATTTAAGATAGTTAGCTCTTCTTGTTGAATTGATCCCTTTACCATTATGTAATGGCCTTCTTTGTCTCTTTTGATCTTTGTTGGTTTAAAGTCTGTTTTATCAGAGACTAGGATTGCAACCCCTGCCTTTTTTTGTTTTCCATTTGCTTGGTAGATCTTCCTCCATCCCTTTATTTGAAGCCTATGTGTGTCTCTGCACATGAGATGGGTTTCCTGAATACAGCACACTGATGGGTCTTGACTCTTTATCCAATTTGCCAGTCTGTGTCTTTTAATTGGAGCATTTAGTCCATTTACATTTAAAGTTAACACTGTTATGTGTGAATTTGATCCTGTCATTATGATGTTAGCTGGTGATTTTGCTCGTTAGTTGATGCAGTTTCTTCCTAGCCTTGATGGTCTTTACATTTTGGTATGATTTTGCAGTGGCTGATACCGGTTGTTCCTTTCCATGTTGAGTGCTTCCTTCAGGAGCTCTTTTAGGGCAGTCCTTGTGGTGACAAAATCTCTCAGCATTTGCTTGTTTGTAAAGTATTTTATTTCTCCTTCACTTATGAAGCTTAGTTTGGCTGGATATGAAATTCTGGGTTGAAAATTATTTTCTTTAAGAATGTTGAATATTGGCCCCCACTGTCTTCTGGCTTGTAGAGTTTCTGCCGAGAGATCCACTGTTAGTCTGATGAGCTTCCCTTCGTGAGGGTAACCCGACCTTTCTCTCTGGCTGCCCTTAACATTTTTTCCTTCATTTCAACTTTGGTGAATCTGACAATTATGTGCCTCGGAGTTGC
>NT_187468.1:0-2855 GCF_000001405.40 Homo sapiens
ACATGTTCAACTCTATGAGATGAATGCACACATCACAAAGAAGTTTCTCAGAATGCTTATGTGTAGTTTTTATGTGAAGATATTTCCTTTTCCACAGTAGGCCACGAAGGACACAAAATATCCACTTGCAGATTCTACAAAAAGAGAGATACAAAACTGCTGAATCAAAAGATACGTTCAAGTCTGCGAGTTGAATGCACACATCACAAAGAAGTGTCTCAGAATGCTTCTGGGTAGTTTTTATGTGAAGATATTTCCTTTTCCACCATAGGCCACAAAGGGCTCCAAATATCCATTTGCAGATTCTACTAAAAGAGTTTCAGAACTGCTCAAACAACAGATAGGTCAACTTGTGAGTTGAATTTACACATCACAAAGAAATGTGTCAGAAAACTTCCACATAGTTTTTATGTGAAGATATTTACTTTTTCACAATAGGCCTCAACGAGCTCCAAATATCCACTAGCAGATTCTACAAAAAGAGTGTTTCAAAATTGCTGAACAAAAAAAAAAAGGTTCAACTCTGTGAGATGAATGCACACATCACAAAGAAGTTTCTCAGAATGCTTCTGTGTAGTTTCTATGTGAAAATATTTCCTTTTCCACAATAGGCCTCAAATAGCTCCAAATATCCACTTGCAGAAGTTACAAAAAGAGTGTTTCAAAACTACTCAATCAAAAGAAAGGTTCAATTCTGTGAGATGAATGCACAGATCACAAAGAAGTTTCTCAGAACGCTTCTGTGTAGGTTTTATATGAAGATATATCCTTTTCCACAATAAACCTCAAAGCACCCCAAATATCCACTTGCAGATTTTACAAAAAGAATGTTTCAAAACTGCTGAATCAAAGGAAAGGTTTAACCTTACGAGATGAATGAAGACATTGCAAATAAGTTTCTCAGAATACTTCTGCAAAGTTTTTATGTGAAGATATTTCCTTTTCCATCATTGACCACAAAGGGATCCAAATCCCCACTTGCAGATTCTACAAAAAGAGAGGTTCAAAACTGCTCAATCAAAAGATAGGTTCAAATCTGTGAGTTGAATGCACACATCCAAAAGAAGTTTCTCAGAATTCTTCTGTGTAGTTTTTATGTGAAGATATTGCCTTTTCCACCATTGGCCTGAAACCACTCCAAATATCCACTAGCAGATTCTTCAAAAAGAGTGTTTCCAAACTGCTCAATCAAAAGAAAGCTTCAACTCAGTCAGATGAATGCACACATCACAAAGAAGTTTATCAGAATGCTTCTGTGTAGTTTTTATGTGTATATATTTCTTTTTCCAAAATAGGCCTCAAGGCGCTCCAAATATCCATTTGCAGATTCTACAAAAGATGTTTTTCAAAACTGCTCAATCAAAAGAAAGCTTCAACTCTGTGAGATGAATTCACACATCACAAAGAAGTTTCTGAGAATGACTCTGTGTAGTTTTCATGTGAAGATATTTCCTTTTCCACCGTTGGCTGCAAAGGGCTTCAAATATTCACCTTAGATTCTACAAAAAGAGAGTTTCAAAACTGCTCTATCAAAAGAAAGGTTTAAATTTGTGAGATGAATGCACACATAACAAAGAAGTTTCTCTGAATACTTCTGTGTAGTTTTTATGTGAAGATATTTCGTTTTCCACCATTTCCTCAAAGCGCTCCATCCATCCTCTTGCAGATTCTACAAAAAGAGTGTTTCAAAACTGTTCAATCCAAAGTCAGGTTCAAATCTGTGACATGAAAGTAAACATCACAAAGAAGTTTCTCAGAATACTTCTGTGTAATTTTTATGTGAGGATATTTCCTTTTCCACTAGAGGCCTCAAGGTGCTCCAAATATCTACTTGCAGATTCTACAAAAAGAGTGCTGAAAAACTGCAGTATCAAAAGAAAAGTTCACTTTGTGAAATGAATGCACACATGGCAAAGAAGTTTCTCAGAATGGTCTGTGTAGTTTTTATGTGAAGATATTTCCTTTTCCTCAAAGCTCTCCAAACATCCACTTGCAGATTCTACAAAACGAGTGATTCAAAAGTATTCAATCAAAAGAAAGGTTCAACTCTGTGAGGTGAATGCACACATCACAAGAATTTTCTCAATATGCTTCTGTGTAGGTTTTATGTGAAGATATTTCCCTTTCCACAATAGACCTCAAAGCTCCCCAATATCCACTTCCAGATTCTACAAAAAGAGAGTTTCAAAACTGCTCCATCAAAAGATAGGTTCAACTCTGTGAGTTTAATACACACATCACAAAGAAGATTCTCAGAATGTTTCTGTGTAGTTTATATGTGAAGATATTTTCTTTTCCACCATAGGCCTGAAAGTGCTCAAAGTGACCACTTGCAGATTCTACAAAAAGAGTGTTTCCAAATTGCTCAATAAAAAGAAAGGTTTAGCTCCATGAGAAGAATGCACACATCACAAAGAAGTTTCTCAGAATGCTTCTGTGTAGTTTTTAGGTGAAGATATTTCCTTTTCCACAAAAGGACCCAAAGCGCTACAAATATCCACTTGCAGATTCTACATAAAGAGTGTTTCAAAACTACTGAGTCCAAACAAAGTTCAACTCTGTGAGATGAATGCACACATCACAAAGAAATTCATCAGAATGCTTCTGTGTAGTTTTTATCTGAAGATATTCCTTTTCCACAAAAGGCAACAAAGGTCTCCAAATATCCCCTTGCAGATTCTACAAACAGAGTGTTTCCAAACTCCACAGTCAAAAGAAAAATTCAACTCTGAGAGCGCCTCTCCTCCTTCAAAGGAATGCAGTTCCTCACCAGCAACGGAACAAAGCTGGACGGAGAACGACTTTGAAGAGCTGAAAGAAGAAGGCTTCAGAAGATCAAATTACTCTGAGCTATG
>NT_187469.1:0-3530 GCF_000001405.40 Homo sapiens
TCCCGTTTCCAAAGAAGACCTCATAGCCGTCCAAATATCCACTTGCAGATCCTTCAGAAAGAGTGTTTCAAAACGGCTCTATCAAAAGAAATGTTCAACTCTGAGTTGAATGCAAACATCACAAAGAAGCTTCTGAGAATGCTTCTGTCTAGTTTTTATGTGAAGATATTCTCATTTCCAATAAAGCCCTGAAAACTGGCCAAATATCCACTTGCAGATTCTAAAAAAAGAGTGTTTCAAATCTGCTCTATCCAAAGAAAGGTTGAAATCTGTGGGTTGAATGCACACATCACAAAGAAGTTTCTCAGAATGCTTCTGTCTCATTTTTATATGTAGATATCTCCTTTTTGCCTTAGGCTTCAAAACACTCCAAATATCCACTTGCAGATTCTACAAAAATAGTGTTTCAAAACAGCTCTATCAAAAGGAGATTTCAAATCTGTGAGTTGAATGCACACATCACAAAAAAGTTTATGAGAATGCTTCTGTCTACTTTTCATTTGAAGATATTCCCATTTCCAACGGATGCTTCAAAGCAATCCAAACATCCACTTGCAGATACTACAAAAAGAATGTTTCAAAATGGCTCTATCAAGAGGAAGATTCAACTGGGTGAGTTGAATGCACACATGTCAAAGAAGTTTCTGAGAATGCTTCTGTCTAGATTTTATGTGAAGGTATTCTTGTTTCCAAAGAAGACCTCATAGCCATCTAAATATCCACTTGCAGATCCTTGAAAAAGAGTGTTTCAAAACGGATCTATCAAAAGAAATGTTCAACTCTCTGAGTTGAATGCAAACATCACAAGGAAGCTTCTGAGAATGCTTCTGTCTAGTTTTTATGTGAAGATATTTCCTTTTCCACCATAGCCCTCGAAGTGCTCAAAATGTCCAATTGCAGATTCTACAAAAAGAGTGTTTCAAATCTGCTCCGTCAAAACATATGTTAAAATCTGTGAGTTGAATGGACACATCGCAAAACAGCTTTTGAGAATGCTCCTGTCTAGTTTTTATGTGAATATATTCCCGTTTCCAACGAAGAGTTCAAAGCACTCCAATTATCCACTGGCAGATTCTACAAAAAGAGTGTTTTAAAATTGTTCTATCAAAAGAAAGGTTAAATTCTGTGAGTTGTAAGGAGACATCACAAGGAAGTTTCTGAGAATGCTTCAGTCTACTTTTTATGTGAAGATATTCTCGTTTCCAAGGAAGACCTCAAAGCGGTCCAAATATCCACTTGCAGGTTCTACAAAAAAAGTGCTTCAAAACTGCTCTATGAAGAGAATGGTTCAACTCCTTGAGTGGAATACAAATATCACAAAGAAATTTGTGGGAATGCTTCTGTCTAGTTTTTATGTGAAGATATTTCCCTTTCCACCATGGCCCTCTAAGTGCTCCAAATGTCCACTTGCAGATTCTACAAAAAGAGTGTTTCAAAACTGCTCTATCAAAAGAAAGGTTCAACACTGTGAGTTGAATGCACTCATCACAAAGTAGTTTCTGAGAATGCTTCTGCGTAGTTTTTATATGAAGATATTTTCTTTTGCCCTGTAGCCCTCAAATGACTCCAAATATCCAATTTCAGATTCTACAAAAAGAGCGTTTCAAAACTGCCTTATCAAAAAAAGGGTTCAACTCCGTGAGTTGAATGCCCACATCACATAGAAGTTTCTGAGAATGCTTCTCACTAGTTTTTATTTGAAGATATTCCCTTTTCCAATGAAGGCTTCAAAGCACTCGAAATATCGACTTGCACATTCTACAAAGAGTGTTTCAAAACTGCTCTATCAAAAGGAACGTTCAACTCTGTGAGATGAAGGCACACGTCACAAAAATGTTTATGAGAATCCTTCTGTCTAGTTTTTATGTGAAGATATTCCCGTTTCCAACGAAGGCCTCAAAGCGGTCCAAATATCCACTTGCAGATCCTACATAAAGAGTGTTTCAAAACTGCTCTATCAAAAGAAAGGTTCAACTCTCTGAGTTGAAGGCAAACATCACAAAAAACTTACTGAGAATGCTTCTGTCTAGTTTTTATGTGAAGATATTTCCTTTTCTACCATAGCCCTCAAAGTGCTCCAAATGTCCACTTGCAGATTCTACAAAAAGTGTGTTTCAAAACTGGTATATCAAAGAAAGGTTAAACTCTCTGAGTTGAATGCACACATTAAAAAGTAGTCTTTGAGAACGTTTCTGTCTAGTTTTTATGTGAAGATATTCCTGTTTCCAATGAAGGCTTCAAAGCACTCCAAATATTCACTTTCAGATTCTAGAAAAAGAGTGTTTCAAAACTGCTTTATCAAAAGAAATGTTCAACTCTCTGAGTTGAATGAAAACATCACAAAGATGTTTCTGAGAATGCTTCTGTCTAGTTTTTATGTAAAGATATTTCCTTTTCCACCATAGCCCTCAAAGTGCTGCAAGTGTCCATTTGCAGATTCTACAAAAAGAGTGCTGCAAAACTGATGTATGAAATGAAACGTTCAACTCTCTGAGTTGAATGCAAACATAACGTAGAAGTTTCTGAGAATGATTCTATCTAGTTTTTATGATATTCCCGTTTCCTTTGAAGGCTTCAAATCACTTCAAATATCCACTTACAGATTCTACAAAAAGAGTGTCTCAAAACTGCTCTATCAAAAGGAAGGTTCAACTCTGTGAGCTGAATGCACACATCAAAAAGACTTTTCTGAGAATGCTTCTGTCTAGTTTTTATGTAAAGATATTCCCGTTTCCAAAGAAAGCCTCAAAGCGGTCCAAATATCCACTTGCAGATACTACAAAAAGAGTGATTCAAAACTGTTCTATCAAAGGAAAGGTTCAACCCTCTGAGTTGAATACAAACATCACAAAGTAGTTTCTGAGAATGCTTCCGTCTAGTTTTTATTAGAAGATGTTTCATTTTCTACAATAGGCCTCAAAGCACTCCAAATATCCACATGCAGATTCTATAAAAAGAGTGTTTCAAAACTCTCCATCAAAAAGAAGGTTCAACTCTGTTAGTTGAAGGCAAACATCACAAAGAAGTTTCTGGGAATGCTTCTTTCTAGTTTTTATGTGAAGATATTCCCGTTTCCAATGAAGGCTTCAAAGCACTCCAAATATCCACCTGTAGATTGTACAAAAAGAGTATTTCAAAACTGCTCTATAAAAAGGAAGGTTCATCTCTGTGAGTCGAATGCACATATCACAAAGAAGTTTTTGAGAATGATTCTGTCTGGTTTATAGGGGAAGATACTTCCTTTTCCACCGAATACCTCAAAAAGCTCGATATGTCCACTTGCAGATTCTACAAAAAGAGTGTTTCAAAACTGCTATATCAAAACAAAGTTTCAACTCTCTGAGTTGAATGTACACAACAAAAAGTGGTTTCTGAGAATGCTTCAGTCTAGTTTTGATATGAAGATATTACATTTTCTACCATAGCCTCAAATGGTTCAAAACAACCACTTGCAGATTCTACAAAAAGACTGATTCAAAACTGCTCTACCAAAAGAAAGTTCAACTCTCTGAGTTGAATGTACACATCAC
>NT_187470.1:0-8320 GCF_000001405.40 Homo sapiens
CGAAAGCCTCAAGCGGTCAAGACATCCACTTGCAGATCCTACAAAAAGAGTGTTTCGGAACTGCTCTATCAAAAGAAATGTTCAACCCTGTGAGTTGAATGCAAAAGTCACAAAACGTTTCTCAGAATGCTTCGGTATAGTTTTTATATGTATATGTTTCCTTTTCCATTATAGCCCTCAATATGCTAAAAAGGTACACTTGTAGATTCTAAAAAAAGAGTGTTTCAAAACTGCTCTATCCAAAGAAAGGTTAAACTCTGTGAATTGAATGCACACATCACAAAGTAGTTTCTGAAAATGCTTCTGTCTAGTTTTTATATGAAGATATTTCCTTTTCTATCATAGGCCTGAAAGCACTCCAAATATCCACCTGCAGATTCTACAAAAAGAGTGTTTCAAAACTGCTCTACCAAAAGGAAGGTTCAACTCTGTGGGTTGAATGCACACATCACAAAGAAGTTTCTGAGAATGCTTCTGTCTAGTTTTTATGTTAAGATATTCCTGTTTCCAACGAAGGCTTCAAAGCACTCCAAATATCCAGTTGCAGATTCTACTAAAAGAGTGTTTCAAAACGTCTCTCTCAAAAGGAAGGTTCAACTCTGTGAGTTGAATGCCCACATCACAAAGAAGTTTCTGAGAATGTTTCTGTCTAGTTTTTATGTGAAGATATTCCCGTTTCCAACGAAAGCTTCAAAGCACTCTGAATATCCACTTGCAGACTCTACAAAAGAGTGTTTCCAAACTGCTCTACCAAAAGGAAAGTTCAACTCTGTGAGTTGAATGGACACATCACAAAGTAGTTTGTGAGAATGCGTCTGTCTAGCTTTTATGTGAAGATATTCCCGTTTCCAACGAAGGCTTCAAAGGACTCAAAATATAGACTTCCAGATTCTACAAAAAGAGTGTGTCAAAACTGCTCTACCGAAAGAAATGTTCAAAACTGTGAGATGAATGCACACATCAGTAAGTAGTTTCTGAGAATGCTTCAGTCTAGTTTTTATGGGAAAATATTTCCGTTTCCAAAGAAGGCCTGAAAGCAGTCCAAATATCCACTTGCAGATTCTACAAAAAGATTGTTTCAAAACTGTTCTATGAAAAGAAATGTTCAACTCTGTGAGTTGAATGAGAACATCACAAAGAAGTTTCTGAGAATGCTTCTGTCTAGTTTTTATGTGAAGATATTTCCTTTTACACCACAGCCCTCCAAGTGCTCCAAATGTCCACTTGCAGATTCTACAAAAAAAAAGTGTTTCAAAACTGCTCTATCAAAAGGAAGGTTCAACTCTCTGAGTTGGATGCACTCATCCCAAAGAAGCTTCTGAGAATGCTTCTGTCTAGTTTTTATGTGAAGATATTCCCGTTTCCAAAGAAGGCTTCAATCTCTCCAAATATCCACTAGCAGATTCTACAAAAAGAGTGTTTCAAAACTGCTCCATCAAAAGCAAGGTTCAACTCTGTGAGTAGAATGCAAACATCACAAAGAAGTTTCTGAGAATGATTCTGTCTAGTTTTTATGTAAAGATATTCCCTTTTCCAATGAAGACTTCAAAGCACTCCAAAAATCCACTTGCAGATCCTAGAAAAAGAGAATTTCAATACTGCTCTATCAAAAGGAATGTTCAACTCTGTGAGTTGAATGAGCACATCAGAAAGAAGTTTCTGAGAATGGTTCGATCTAGTTTTATGTGTAGATAAAGTCGTTTCCAACGAAGTTCTCAAAGGGGTACAATTATGCACTTGCAGTTTCTACAAAAAGAGTGTTTCAAAACTGCTCTATGAAAAGAAAGGCTCAACTCTCTGAGTTGAATGCAGAAATCACAGACATGTTTCTGAGAATACTTCTGTCTAATTTTTATGTAAAGATATATCCTTTTCCACCATAGACCTCAAAGTGCTCCAAATGTCCACTTGCAGATATTACAAAAAGAGTTTTTTGAAACTACTCTATCAAAAGAAAATTTAAACACTTTAGGTTGAATGCAGACGTCACAAAGTAGTTTCTAAGAATGCTTCTTTCTAATTTTTATATGAAGACATTTCCTTTTCTACCATAGGCCTCAAAGCATTCCCAAAATCCACTTGCAGATTACAGAAAAGGAATGTTTCAAAACCACTCTATCAAAAGGAGGGTTCAACTCCGTGAGCTGAATACACACATTCCAAAGAAGTTTCTTAGAATGCTTCTGTCTAGTTTTTATGTGAAGATATTCCAGTTTCCAACGAAGGCTTAAAGCACTCCTAATATCCACTTGTGGATTCTACAAAAAGAGTGTTTCAAAACTGCTCTATCAAAAGAAAGGTTCAACTCTGTGAGTTGAATGCACACATCACAAAGTAGTTTCTGAGAATGCGTCTGTCAAGTTTTTATGTGAAGATACTCCCATTTTCAATGAAGGCATCAAATCAGTCCAAATATCCACCTGCAGATTCTACAAAAAGAGTTTTTCAAAACTGCTCTAACAAAAGAAAGGTTCAACTCTGTGAGTTGAATGCACACATCAAAAGAAGTTTGTGAGAATGCTTCTGTCTAGTTTTTATGTGAAGATATTTCCTTTTCCACCATAGCCTTCAAAGTGCTTCAAACATCCACTTGCAGATTCTACAAAAAGAGTGTTTCAAAACTTCTCTAAGAAAAGAAAGGTTAATCTCTGTGAGTTGAATGCACACTTCACAAAGTAGTTTCTGAGAATGCTTCTTTCTAGTTTTTATATGAATATATTTCCTTTTCTACCATAAGCCTCAAAGCCCTCAAACTATCCACTTGCAGATTCTGCAAAAAGAGTGTTTCAAAACTGCTCTATCAAAAGGAAGGCTCAACTCTGTGAGTTGAATGCACACATCACAAAGTAGTTTCTGAGAATGCGTCTGTCAAGTTTTTATGTGAAGATACTCCCATTTCCAATGAAGGCCTCAAATAAGTCCAAATATCCACCTGCAGATTGTACAAAAAGAGTTTTTCAAAACTGCTCTAACAAAAGAAAGGTTCAACTCTGTGAGTTGAATGCACACATCAAAAGAAGTTTGTGAGAATGCTTCTGTCTAGTTTTTATGTGAAGATATTTCCTTTTCCACCATAGCCCTCAAAGTGCTTCAAATATCCACTTGCAGATTCTACAAAAAGAGTATTTCAAAACTTCTCTAAGGAAAGAAAGGTTAACCTCTGTGAGTTGAATGCACACTTCACAATGTAGTTTCTGAGAATGCTTCTTTCTAGTTTTTATATGAATATATTTCCTTTTCTACCGTAAGCCTCAAAGCCCTCAAAATATCCACTTGCAGATTCTGCAAAAAGTGTTTCAAAACTGCTTTATTAAAAGGAAGGTTCAAATCTGTGAGCTGAATGCACTCATCACAATAAGTTTCTGAGAATGCTTCTGTCTAGTTTTTATGTGAAGGAATTTCCTTTTCCACCACTGCCCTCAGAGTGCTCCAAATGTCCACATGCAGACACTACAAAAAGAGTGTTTCAAAACTTCTCTATCAAAAGAAAGGTTAAACTCTGTGAATTGAATGTACACATCACAAAGCAGTTTCTGAGAATGCTTCTTTCTAGTTTTTATGTGAAGATATTTCCTTTTCTCCATAGCCCTCAAAGGGTTCCAAATATCCACTTCCAGATTCTACAAAAAGAGTGTTTCAAAACTGCTCAATCAAAAGAGGGGTTCACCTCTCGAAGTTGAATGGACGCATCACAAATGTTTCTGTGAATGCTTCTGTCTAGTTTTTATGTGAAGATATTACTGTTTCCATTGAAGGCTTCAAAGCACTCTAACTATCCACTTGTAGATTCTACAAAAACAGGGTTTCAAATCTGCTCTATCAAAAGGAAGGTTCAAATCTGTGTGTTGAATGCACACATCACAAAGAAGTTTCTGAGAATGTTTCTGTCTAGTTTTTATCTGAGGATATTCCCGTTTCCAACGGAGGCCTGAAAGCAGTCCAAAAATCAACTTGCAGATTCTACAAAAAGAGTGTTTCAAAACTGCTCCATGAAAAGAAATGTTCAACTCTGTTAGTTAAATGCAAACATCACAAAGACGTTTCTGAGAATGCTTCATTCTAGTTTTTATGTGAATTTATTTCCTTTTCCAACTTAGCCTTCAAAGTGCTCCAAATATCCACTTGAAGATTCTACAAAAAGAGTGTTGTAAGACTGCTATATCAAAAGAAACGTTAAACTCTGTGAGTTGAGTGCACACATCCCATAGTAGTTTCTGAGAATGCTTCTTTCTAGTTTTTATATGAAGATATTTCCTTTTCTACCATAGGCCTCAAAGGGCTGCAAATACCCACTTGCAGATTCTAAAAAAGAGTGTTTCAAAACCGAGCTATCAAAGTAGTGTTCACTTCTATGAGTTGAATGCATTCATCACAAAGAAGTTTCTGAGAATGCTTCTATCTAGTTTTTCTGTGAAGATATTTCCTTTTCCACCATAGCCCTCAATGTGCTCCAAAAGTCCACTTTCAGAATCTACAAAAATATTGTTTCAAAACTGCTCTATCAAAAGAAAAGTTAAACTCCGTGAGATAAATGCACACATCACAAAGTAGTTTCTGAGAATGCTTCTGTCTAGTTTTTATATGTAGATATTTCCTTTTCTACCATAGGCCTCTAAGCACCCCAATTATCCAATTGCGGATTCTGCAAAAAGAGTGTTTCAAAATTGCTCTCTCAAAAGAAAGTTTAACTCTGTGAGTTGTAAGCACACATCAAAAAGTAGTTTCTGAGACTGCTTCTTTCTAGTTTTTATATGAAGATATTTCCTTTTCTACTGTATTCCTCAAAGCGCTCCAAATATCCAATTGCAGATTCTACAAAAAGAGTGTTTCAAAACTGCTCTATCAAAAGGAAAGTTCAACTCAGTGAGTTGAATGCACACATCACAAAGAAGTTTCTGAGAATGCTTCTGTCTAGTTTTTAGGTAAAGATATTCCCGTTTCCAACGATGGCCTCAAAGCAGTCCAAATATCCACTTGCAAATTCTACAAAAAGAGTGTTTCAAAACTGCTCAATGAAAAGGATGGTTCAACTCCGTGGGTTGAATGCAAACAACACAAAGAAGTTTCGGAGAATGCTTCTGTCTAGTTTTTATGTGAAGATCTTTCCTTTTCCACGATAGCCCTCACGTGCTCCAAATGTCCACATGCAGATGCTACAAAAGAGAGTTTCAACACTGCTCTGTCAAAAGAAACATTCAACTCTGTGAGTCGAATGCACACATCACAACTAGTTTCTGAGAATGCTTCTTTCTAGTTTTTATATCAAGATATTTCCTTTTGTACAATAGGCCTCAAAGGGCTCCAAATATGCACTTTCAGATCCTACAAAAACAGTGTTTCAAAACTTCTGTATCAAAACGAGTGTTCAACTCTGTGAGTTGAATGCACACATAACAAAGTACTTTCTGAGAATGCTTCTGTCTCGTTTTTATGTGAAGATATTCCCGTTTCCAACAAAGGCCTCAAAGCAGTCCAAATATCCACTTGCAGATTCTTCAAAAAGTGTGTTTCAAAACTGCTCTATCAAAAGAAAGGTTGAACACTGTGAGTTGAATGCAAAAATCACAAAGAAGTTTCTGAGAATGCCTCTGTCTTGTTTTTATGTGATGATACTTCTTTTTTCACCATAGCCCTCAAAGTGCTCCATATGTCCACTTGCAGATTCCACAAAGAGAGTGTTTCAAAACTTCTCTACCAAAAGAAATGTTCAACTCTGTGAGTTGAATGCACCCATCACAAAGAAGTTTCTGAGAATGCTTCTGTCTAGTTTTTATGTGAAGATATTTCCTTTTCCACCATATACCTTAAACTTCTACAAATGTCCACTTGCAGATTCTACAAAAAGAGTGTTTCAAAAGTGCTCTATCAAAAGAAAGTTTAACTCTGTGAGTTGAATGCAAACATCAGAAAGAAGTTTCTGAGAATGCTTCTGTCTAGAATTTATGTGAAGATATTTCTTTTTCCACCATAGCCCACAAAGTGTTCCAAATGTACAGTTTCAGATTCTACAAAAAGAGTGTTTCTAACTGCTCTGTCAAAAGAAAGGTTAAACTCTGTGAGATGAATGCACACATCACAAATTAGTTTCTAAGAATGCTTCTTTCTAGCTTTTATATGAAGATATTTCCTTTTTTACCATAGGCCTCAAAGTGCTCCAAATATTCACTTGCAGATTCTACAAAAAGAGGGTTTCAATACAGCTCTATCAAAAGGAGGTTTAAACTCTGTG
The DNA here is from genome assembly GCF_000001405.40 of Homo sapiens. Classification (NCBI taxonomy): domain Eukaryota; kingdom Metazoa; phylum Chordata; class Mammalia; order Primates; family Hominidae; genus Homo; species Homo sapiens. The sequence goes on from NT_187470.1 coordinate 6,230, forward strand.
AGTTGAACGCACACATCACAATGAAGTTTCTAATAATGCATCTGTCTAGTTTTTATGTGAAGATATTCCCGTTTCCAACGAAGGCTTCAAATTAGTCCAATTATCCACTTGCAGATTCTATAAAAAGAGTGTTTCAAAACTGCTCAATAAAAAGGAATGTCTAAATCTGTGAGATGAATGCACACATCGCAAGGAAGTTTCTGAGAATGCTTCTGTCTAGTTTTTATGTGAAGATATTCCGGTTTCCAATGAAGGCCTGAAAGCACTCCAAATATCTACTTGCAGATTCTACAAAAAGAGTGTATCAAAACTTCTCTATGAAAAGGAAGGTTCAACTCTGTGAGTTAAATGCACACATTACAAGAAGTTTCTGAGAATGCTTCTGTCTGGTTTTTATGTGAAGATACTTTCTTTTCCACCAAAGACCTCAAAGAGCACGACATGTCCACTTGCAGATTCTACAAAAAGAGTGTTTCAAAACTGCTCTATCAATAGGAAGGTTCAACTCTGTGAGCTGAATGCACACATCACAAAGAACTTTCTGAGAATGCATCTTTCTAGTTTTTATGTGAAGATATACCCGTTTCCAACGAAGACTTCAAATTACTCCAATTATCCACTTGCAGATTGTACAACAAGTGTGTTCAAAACTGCTCTATCAATAGGAATGTTCAACTCTGTGAGTTGAATGTCCACATCACAAAGAAGTTTCTGAGAATGCTTCTGTCTAGTTTTCACGTGAAGATATTCCCATTTCCAACGAAGGCCTCAAAGCAGTCCAAATGCCCAATGCAGATGCTACAAAAAGAGTGTTTCAAAACTGCTCTATCAAAAGAAAGGTGAATTATGTGAATTGTGAGCACACATCACAAAATAGTTTCTGAGAATGCATCTGTCTAGTTTTTATGTGAAGATATACCCGTTTCCAACGAAGACTTCAAATTACTCCAATTATCCACTTGCAGATTGTACAAGTGTGTTCAAAACTGCTCTATCAATAGGAATGTTCAACTCTGTGAGTTGAATGTCCACATCACAAAGAAGTTTCTGAGAATGCTTCTGTCTAGTTTTCAAGTGAAGATATTCCCATTTCCAACGAAGGCCTCAAAGCAGTCCAAATGTCCAATGCAGATTCTACAAAGAGTGTCTCAAAACTGCTCTATCAAAAGAAAGGTGAATTATGTGAATTGTGAGCACACATCACAAAGTAGTTTCTGAGAATGCTTCTGTCTAGTTTTTATATGTAGATATTTCCTTTTCTACCATAGGCCTCTAAGCACCCCAATTATCCAATTGCGGATTCTGCAAAAAGAGTGTTTCAAAATTGCTCTATCAAAAGAAAGATTTAACTCTGTGTGTTGAATGCACACATCACAAATAAGTTTCTGAGAATGCTTCTGTCTAGATTGTATGTGAAGATATTCCCGTTTACAAGGAAGGCCTCAAAGCAGTCCAAATATCCACTTGCAGATTCTACAAAAAGAGTGTTTCAAATCTGCTCTATGAAAAGAAACGTTCAACTCTGTGAGTTGAATGCAAATCTCAGAAAGAAGTTTCTGAGAATGCTTATGTCTAGTTTTTATGTGAAGGTATTTCCTTTTCCACCATAGCCCTCAAAGTTCTCCAAATATCTACTTGCATATTCTACAAAAAGAGTGTTACAAAACTGCTGTATCTAAAGAAAGGTTAAACTCTGTGAGGTGAATGCACACATCACGAAGTAGTTTCCGAGAATGCTTCTTTCTAGTTTTCCTATGAAGATATTTCCTTTTCTACCATAGGGCTCAAAAGTTTCCAAATATCCACTTGCAGATTCTACAAAAAGAGTGTTTCAAAACTGCTCTATCAAAAGAAATTTTAAATTCTTTGAGTTGAATGCACACATCCAAAAGTAGTTTCTGAGAATGCATCCGTCTAGTTTTTTTTTTTCTCCCCAGAAAATGGGTTGTTTTTTTTTATTTTAATTTTTTTAATTCTTTTATTTTTTTATTATACTTTAAATTTTAAGGGTACATGTGCACATTGTGCAGGGTAGTTACATATGTATACATGTGGCATGCTGGGGCGCTGCACCCCTAACTCGTCATCTAG
>NT_187471.1:0-1048 GCF_000001405.40 Homo sapiens
AAAGGAATATCTTCCCATAAAAACGACATAGAAGCTATCTCAGGAACTTGTTTATGATGCATCCAATCAACTAACAGTGTTGAACCTTTGTACTGACAGAGCAGTTTGAAACACTCTTTTTTTGGAATCTGCAAGTGGATATTTGTATCGCTTTGAGAATTTCGTTGGAAACGGGATTACATATAAAAAGTAGACAGCAGCATTCTCAGAAACTTCCTTACGATGTTTGCATTCAAGTCACAGACTGGAACATTCCCGTTCATAGAGCAGGTTGGAAACACTCTTTTTGTAGCATCTGGAAGTGGACATTTGGAGCGCCTTCTTGCCTGTGGTGAAAAAGGAAATATCTTCCCATAAAAACAAGATAGAAGCAGTCTCAGAAACTTATTTGTGATGTGTGTCCTCAACTAACAGACTTGAACCTTTCTTTTCATGCAGTACTTCTGGAACACTCTTTTTTGAAGATTCTGCATGTGGATATTTGGATAGCTTTCAGGATTTCGTTGGAAACGGGTTTACATATAAAAAGTAGACAGCAGGATTCTCAGAAACTTCCTTACGATGTTTGCGTTCAAGTCACAGAGTGGAACATTCCCATTCATAGAGCAGGTTGGAAACACTCTTTTTGTAGCATCTGGAAGTGGACATTTCTAGCGCTTTCTTACCTGTGGTGAAAAAGGAAATATCTTCCCATAAAAACAAGACAGAAGCATTCTCAGAAACTTTTTTGTGATGTGTGTCCTCAACTAACGGACTTGAACCTTTCTTTTCATGCAGTACTTCTGGAACACTCTTTTTGAAGATTCTGCATGTGGATATTTGGATGGCTTTGAGGATTTCGTTGTAAACGGGATTACATATAAAAAGTAGACAGCAGCATTCAGAAACTTCTTTGTGGTGTCTGCATTCAAGTCACAGAATTGAACATTCCCTCACATAAAGCAGTTGTGAAGCACTCCATTTGTAGTATCTCGAAGTGGATATTTGGCGGGCTTTGTAGCCTATCTGGAAAAAGAAAATATCTTCCCATGAATGCGAGATAGAAGCA
>NT_187472.1:0-1045 GCF_000001405.40 Homo sapiens
AGCAACTTCAGCAAAGTGTCAGGATACAAAATCAATGTACAAAAATCACAAGCATTCTTATACACCAACAATAGACAAACAGAGAGCCAAATCATGAGTGAACTCCCATTCACAATTGCTTCAAAGAGAATAAAATACCTAGGAATCCAACTTACAAGGGATGTGAAGGACCTCTTCAAGGAGAACTACAAACCACTGCTCAACGAAATAAAAGAGGATACAAACAAATGAAAGAACATTCCATGCTCATGGGTAGGAAGAATCAATATCGTGAAAATGGCCATACTGTCCAAGGTAATTTACAGATTCAATGCCATCCCCATCAAGCTACCAATGACTTTCTTCACAGAACTGGAAAAAACTACTTTAAAGTTAATATGGAACCAAAAAAGAGCCCGCATCGCCAAGTCAATCCTAAGCCAAAAGAACAAAGCTGGAGGCATCGCACTACCTGACTTCAAACTATACTACAAGGCTACAGTAACCAAAACAGCATGGTACTGGTACCAAAACAGAGATATAGATCAATGGAACAGAACAGAGCCCTCAGAAATAACGCCACATATGTACAACTATCTGATCTTTGACAAACCTGAGAAAAACAAGCAATGGGGAAAGGATTCCCTATTTAATAAATGGTGCTGGGAAAACTGGCTAGCCATATGTAGAAAGCTGAAACTGGATCCCTTCCTTACACCTTATACAAAAATCAATTCAACATGGATTCAAGACTTAAATGTTAGACCTAAAACTATAAAAAACCTAGAAGAAAACCTAGGCAATACCATTCAGGACGTAGGCATGGGCAAGGACTTCATGTCTAAAACACCTAAAGCAATGGCAACAAAAGCCAAAATTGACAAATGGGATCTAATTAAACTAAAGAACTTCTGCACAGCAAAAGAAACTACCATCAGAGTGAACAGGCAACCTAAAAAATGGGAGAAATTTTCACACCTACTCATGTGACAAAGGGCTAATATCCAGAATCTACATGAACTCAAACAAATTTACAGGAAAAAAACAAACAACCCCATCAAAAAGT
>NT_187473.1:0-1298 GCF_000001405.40 Homo sapiens
GATACAGCATTTTGGAAACACTCTTTTTGTAGGATCTGCAGGTGGATATTTGGATAGGTTTGAAGGTTTCGTTGGAAAGGGGAATATCTTCATATAAAATCAACACAGAAGCATTCTCAGAAACTTCTCTGCGATGTTTGCATTCAACTCATAGAGTTGAACACTTCCTTTCATAGAGCTGGTTTGAAATACTCTTTTTGTAATATTTGGAAGTGGACATTGGCAGCGCTTTGAAGCCTATGTTGAAAAAGGAAATATCTTCTCCTAAAAACCAGACAGAAGCATTCTCAGAAACTTCCTTGTGATGTGTGTACTCAAGTAACAGAGTTGAACCTTACTTTTAACAGAGCCGTTTTGAAACAGTCTTTTTGTAGAATCTGGAAGTAGATATTTGGATACCTTTGAGGATTTCTTTGGAAACGGGATATCTTCATATAAAATCTAGACAGAAGCATTCTCAGAAACATCTTTGTGCTGTATGTCCTCAATTAACAGAGTTGAACCTTTGTGTGGATACAGCATTTTGGAAACACTCCTTTAGTAGAATCTGCAAGTTGATACTTAGATAGGAAGATTTCCTTGGAAACGGGAATATCTTCATATAAAATCTAGACGGAAGCATTCTCAGAAACTACTTTGTGCTGTATGTCCTCAATTAACAGAGTTGAACCTTTGTGTGGATACAGCATTTTGGAAACATTCCTTTAGTAGAATCTGCAAGTTGATATTTAGATAGCTAGGAAGATTTCCTTGGAAACGGGAATATCTTCACATAAAATCTAGACGGAAGCATTCTCAGAAACTGCTTTGTGATGTCTTCATTGAAGTCACAGAGTAGAATGTTCCCTTTTATAGAGCAGGTTTGAAACACTCAGTGCACTACCTGGAATTGGACATTTGGAGCGCTTTGAGGCCTATGTTGAAAAAGGAAATATCTTCCCATAGAAACTAGACAGAAGCATTCTCAGAAACTTGTTTGTGATGTGTGTATTCAACTAACAGAGATGAACCTTTCTTTTTACAGAGCAGTTTTGAAACACTCTTTTTGTGGAATCTGAAAGTGGATATTTGGATAGCTTTGAGGATTTCGTTGGAAACGGGATTACATATAAAATCTAGGGAGAAGCATTCTCAGGAACTTCTTTGTGATGTTTGCATTCAAGTCACAGAACTGAACATTCCCTTTCATAGTGCAGGTTTGAAACACTCTTTCTGTAGTATCTGCAAGCTGACGTTTCAAGCGCTTTCAGGCCTGTGGTGAAAAAGCAAATATCTTCAAATAAAAACTAGACAGAAGC
>NT_187474.1:0-2387 GCF_000001405.40 Homo sapiens
TAACAGAGATGAACCTTTCTTTTTACAGAGCAGTTTTGAAACACTCTTTTTGTGGAATCTGAAAGTGGATATTTGGATAGCTTTGAGGATTTCATTGAAAACGGGATTACATATAAAATCTAGAGAGAAGCATTCTCAGGAACATCTTTGTGATGTTTGCATTCACGTCACAGAACTGAACATTCCCTTTCATAGAGCATGTTTGAAACACTCTTTCTGTAGTATCTGCAAACGGACATTTCAAACACTTTCAGGCCTATGGTGAGAAAGGAAATATATTCAAATAAAAACTAGACAGAAGCATTCTCAGAAACTTATTTGCGATGTGTGTCCTCAACTAACAGAGTTGAACCTTTCTTTTGATACAACATTTTGGAAACACTCTTTTTGTAGAATCTGCAAGTGGATATTTGGATAGCTTTGAAGGTTTCGTTGGAAACGGGAATATCTTCATATAAAATCAAGACAGAAGCATTCTCAGAAAATTCTCTGTGATGTTTGCATTCAACTCATAGGGGTGAACACTTCCCTTCATAGAGCAGGTTTGAAACACTCTTTTTGTAATATTTAGAAGTGGACATTTGCAGCGCTTTGAGGCCTATGTTGAAAAAGGAAATATCTTCTCCTAAAAACCAGACAGAAGCATTCTCAGAAACTTCCTTGTGATGTGTGTACTCAAGTAACAGAGTTGAACCTTACTTTTGACAGAGCAGTTTTGAAACAGTCTTTTTGTAGAATCTGGAAGTAGATATTTGGATACCTTTGAGGATTTCTTTGGAAACGGGATATCTTCATATAAAATCTAGACGGAAGCATTCTCAGACACTTCTTTGTGCTGTATGTCCTCAACTAACAGAGTTGAACCTTTGTGTGGATACAGCATTTTGGAAACATTCCTTTAGTAGAATCTGCAAGTTGATATTTAGATAGCTAGGAAGATTTCCTTGGAAACGGGAATATCTTCACATAAAATCTAGACGGAAGCATTCTCAGAAACTGCTTTGTGATGTCTTCATTCAAGTCACAGAGTAGAATGTTCCCTTTTATAGAGCAGGTTTGAAACACTCAGTGCACTACCTGGAAGTGGACATTTGGAGCGCTTTGAGGCCTATGTTGAAAAAGGAAGTATCTTCCCATAGAAACTAGACAGAAGCATTCTCAGAAACTTGTTTGTGATGTGTGTATTCAACTAACAGAGATGAACCTTTCTTTTTACAGAGCAGTTTTGAAACACTCTTTTTGTAGAATCTGAAAGTGGATATTTGGATAGCTTTGAGGATTTCGTTGGAAACGGGATTACATATAAAAGCTAGGGAGAAGCATTCTCAGGAACTTCTTTCTGATGTTTGCATTCAAGTCACAGAACTGAACATTCCCTTTCATAGAGCAGGTTTGAAACACTCTTTCTGTAGTATCTGCAAGTGGACGTTTCAAGCGCTTTCAGGCCTGTGGTGAAAAAGGAAATATCTTCAAATAAAAACTAGACAGAAGCATTCTCAGAAACTTATTTGCGATGTGTGTTCTCAACTAACAGAGGACCTTTGTTTTGATACAACATTTTGCAAACACTCTTTTGGGAGAATCTGCAGGTGAATACTTGGATAGCTTTGAAGGTTTCTTTGGAAACGGGAATATCTTCATATAAAATCAAGACAGAAGCATTCTCAGAAACTTCTCTGTGATGTTTGCATTCAACTCATAGAGGTGAACACTTCCCTTCATAGAGCAGGTTTGAAACACTCTTTTTGAAATATTTGGAAGTGGACATTTGCAGCGCTTTGAGGCCTATGTTGAAAAAGGAAATATCTTCTCCTAAAAACCAGACAGAAGCATTCTCAGAAACTTCCTTGTGATGTGTTTACTCAAGTAACAGTGTTGAACCTTACTTTTGACAGAGCCGTTTTGAAACACTCTTTTTGTAGAATCTGGAAGTAGATATTTGGATACCTTTGAGGATTTCTTTGGAAACGGGATATCTTTATATAAAATCTACACAGAAGCATTCTCAGACACTTCTTTGTGCTGTATGTCCTCAATTAACAGAGTTGAACCTTTGTGTGGATACAGCATTTTGGAAACATTCCTTTAGTAGAATCTGCAAGTTGATATTTAGATAGCTAGGAAGATTTCCTTGGAAACGGGAATATCTTCATATAAAATCTAGACGGAAGCATTCTCAGAAAGTGCTTTGTGATGTTTGCATTCAAGTCACAGACTTGAATATTCCCTTTTATAGAGCAGGTTTGAAACACTCTTTCTGCACTACCTGGAAGTGGACATTTGGAGCGCTTTGAGGCCTATGTTGAAAAAGGAAATATCTTCCCATAAAAACTAGACAGAAGCATTCTCAGAAACTTCTTTGTGATGTGTGTATCAACTAACACAGA
>NT_187475.1:0-1537 GCF_000001405.40 Homo sapiens
TGGAGCGCTTTGAGGCCTATGATGAAAAAGGAAATATCTTCCCATAAAAACTAGACAGAAGCATTCTCAGAAACTTGTTTGTGATGTGTGTATTCAACTAACAGAGATGAACCTTTCTTTTTACAGAGCAGTTTTGAAACACTCTTTTTGTGGAATCTGAAAGTGGATATTTGGATAGCTTTGAGGATTTCGTTGGAAACGGGATTACATATAAAATCTAGAGAGAAGCATTCTCAGGAACTTCTTTGTGATGTTTGCATTCACGTCACAGAACTGAACATTCCCTTTCATAGAGCATGTTTGAAACACTCTTTCTGTAGTATCTGCAAACGGACATTTCAAGCACTTTCAGGCCAATGGTAAGAAAGGAAATATCTTCAAATAAAAACTAGACAGAAGCATTCTCAGAAACTTATTTGCGATGTGTGTTCTCAACTAACAGAGTTGAACCTTTGTTTTGATACAACATTTTGGAAACACTCTTTTTGTAGAATCTGCAAGTGGATATTTGGATAGCTTTGAAGGTTTCGTTGGAAACGAGAATATCTTCATATAAAATCAAGACGGAAGCATTCTCAGAAACTTCTCTGTGATGTTTGCATTCAACTCATAGAATTGAACACTTCCCTTCATAGAGCAGGTTTGAAAAACTCTTTTTGTAATATTTGGAAGTGGACATTTGCAGCGCTTTGAGGCCTATGTTGAAAAAGGAAATATCTTCTCCTAAAAACCAGACAGAAGCATTCTCAGAAACTTCCTTGTGATGTGTGTACTCAAGTAACAGAGTTGAACCTTACTTTTGACAGAGCCGTTTTGAAACAGTATTTTTGTAGAATCTGGAAGTAGATATTTGGATACAATTGAGGATTTCTTTGGAAACGGGATATCTTCATATAAAATCTAGATGGAAGCATTCTCAGAAAGTGCTTTGTGATGTTTGCATTCAAGTCACAGAGTTGAATATTCCCTTTTATAGAGCAGGTTTGAAACACTCTTTCTGCACTACCTGGAAGTGGACATTTGGAGCGCTTTGAGGCCTATGTTGAAAAAGGAAATATCTTCCCATAAAAACTAGACAGAAGCATTCTCAGAAACTTGTTTGTGATGTGTGTATTCAACTAACAGAGATGAACCTTTCTTTTTACAGAGCAGTTTTGAAACACTCTTTTTGTGGAATCTGAAAGTGGATATTTGGATAGCTTTGAGGATTTCGTTCGAAACGGGATTACATATAAAATCTAGAGAGAAGCATTCTCAGGAACTTCTTTGTGATGTTTGCATTCACGTCACAGAACTGAACATTCCCTTTCATAGAGCATGTTTGAAACACTCTTTCTGTAGTATCTGCAAACGGACATTTCAAGCGCTTTCAGGCCTATGGTAAGAAAGGAAATATCTTCAAATAAAAACTAGACAGAAGCATTCTCAGAAACTTATTTGCGATGTGTGTCCTCAACTAACAGAGTTGAACCTTTGTTTTGATACAACATTTTGGAAACACTCTTTTTGTAGAATCTGCAAGTGGAGATTTGGATAG